>NT_187584.1:0-177092 GCF_000001405.40 Homo sapiens | reverse complement strand
GAATTCAAGACCATCAGAGCCTCACGCTGAGCAGGGTCCTTCTCACTTGCATGGCCCCTGCATCTCCAATCCCCACTGCATCCCGTGCGCCCGGATATCTTCGGGAATTAGTGCATTCTTGTGAAACACGGGGTTTTATTTTGAGGCGCGTTTTCAATTCTGCAACGGGGGTGTGCACGGCCTTGCTCTACCGGTCACCCTCCTGCTTCAGCTCTGGGTCTGAAGGTGGCTCCACGTGGCTCCGGGGTCACTACATCCACACCCAGGGACCCCCACCTCGGCCGCTTCCAAGCTCTGCCCCGCCGTGTGCCTCGAGGACAATCGCCTGGGGACAGACCCGCCCGCCGCCCCACCAGTCGTGTGACATCAGGCAGTCCACAGCCTCCCTGGCCCTCAGTATCTTCATCTACACAACGAGAGGAGCATTGACCACTTTGCAGAGCTGCTTTGGAGGCCAGAGGTCATGAAATGAAGTTGCCGGCCTCCGCTGACCCACGGTTGTCGTTTTAGCTCTCCGCTTCCTGACCCGGGGTTCTCGGTCTCCCCTTTAGTCTCTCTTCCTCCCCAAAGCGCAGTGCCTCCTCCCCCGGGCCAGTAGGGCCCAAGGCTGCAGGGATGCGGCTGGAGGAGCGCAGCGGGAGGGGTCAGAGCTGCCCGCGGCAGAAGCGCAGATGAGCAGTCCTTGAGCGCCCCCTGGGGGCCGTGAGCTCCGAGCCTGTGGCCGAGGGCGGGGAGGCGCCTGCTGGGCTCTGCAGAGGTCACAGGCAGGGACTTGGGGGTTCCTAGGGGCCCCGGCACAGGCTGGCACGGAGGAGGAGGCATCGCCCGGCCCCCCCTCGGGGCTGTAGCTCAGAGCAGCCCTGGTGCCATGACCACCCCCCAACCCCTGGCCCAAGCGGGCAGAGCCCTCGGTGTGGGGAGACCTTCCCTTCTGCCCCTTTCTCCTGCGTGTTGACCTCACAGAACAGGAAGGGGGCCAGCAGGAACATGGCAGGGGGCGTGACAAGGGCAAGGCCCTGGGGTCGGCTCGCCTGCTCCTTGCCCTGTGCCAGCCGACCTGGGCCTCCCTGTCTCCGCCACATCCCTCGCCTGTCTCGACCACGGCCTCCGTCCCCAGGCACTGGCCCCTGGTCCCCAGGCTCTAGGTGGTGGCAACCCCTCGCTCGGGGCCACTGGGGGCAAAGAGGGGGGGCAGCTCCTGCCTCTGCTGTCTCTGGGTAGACTCCCTTTCTGTCCCCACGGTAGCAGCTCTGGTTTTCTCTGCACCTGAGTCCCTGTCCCCATCCCCCAGAAGGTTCCTGTGTCCGGGGAAGGGTCCTTCGTCCCTTGCGACTTTCTCCAAGTTGCTATATATGCACTCCGAGTCTCCTTTTCTGACCTGTAAAATTGTGATGGGAATAACAGGGCCGTCGCCATTCCTGGGGAAACGAGACTGCAGGTCCTGCGGCCCGGGCTGGCCGAGAAGCGCCACCTGGTGGCAGGAGGGCCCCGCGGGGCGGCCGGCGAGTGGGAAGCAAAGGCTCCTCGCAAGACCACTCCCCTAGCCCCGGGGTCGGCAGCTCTCCAGGGGCCATGTCCCCGGCTGGTTCGGCGCCCAGGGACAGCACCCCAGACCAACTTGCGCATTCCTTCCAATCACAATGACTTTGATGCTTTTGAAAAAACAAAAATTAAATTAAAAAATAAAATAACACATCCTTTAAGTTTTGTATCTGTGGGCTCCTCTTTCTGGGACTCAGGGCGAGTGCCTAGCCCGCCCGTGCACACCGTCAGAGCAGCGCAGCCAGACCCCAGCCTCTGCTCAGCCAGGGTCTCTAGGGAAGGTGCCTGCAACCAAGCCCTCGTTTCTAGTTTGTAATGCACGGCTTCTATTTTGTGGCATGCACTGATGCTGGTTTAGAACGGCTCCCACCCTTCCCTGTCTTCGTAGCAGGTAGTGAGTAGCTGTGACCCTCTGAGAACAGGACAGGGGCTCACCCCTCCAAGCCATCTCCTTCCTGCTCCTCAGCCCTGGAGAGTGGAAGTGGGTGCGTGGGAAAGTTGAAGGCTTCATGCTCAGGGCTGGCATGGCCAGGGGCACCGAAGGAGGTCGGGGGAGGAGGGACATTCGAGAGCCGGGCTCTCAGAACCTGGGTGTCTGTGGCTTCCTGGGGATGCAGGGATGGATGGAGTTGTGCCTGGCCAAAATCTCACCCTGCACCGTCACTCCAGCCCCTGCCCCTCCCCGGGGTGAGAGGCGGCCTCTGGCTTCCCACCTGCCCACAGGGCCTTGCCTGCCTGGGGCCCAGCAGGTGGTTCAGCTTAGCTCCATGACTAATTTCCCTCCGCCTTCACCTGAACACACAGGTGCACCCCGAATCTGCTCCCACACCCCCTCCTCCAGCAGCTTAGGGTCGAGGACCAGAACCAGTTTTCAATGCATTTAATGACCTCTGAGGAAGTCCCCTTAGAAGATTGCGGCAGCAACCGGGGATGGGAAGGGGCTGTTTCCAAATGAGGTGAACCTGGGGAGGTTGCCTGAGCCTCTGGGCCTCAGCCTCTGTTTTCTGGCAGGCAGAATGGAATGAGCATTCCCTTTTCTCCTGGGCCACTGGGAGACTTTGCCATTGTGAAGGCAAAACGCCTGGCAACAAGTGGGTCTTCTGTGACCATGGCTCTCGCCGTAGGCTTACAGCAGCAGCCGCTGCTTCCTGGGCCTCTGTCCCTCTGTGAAGGTCCCCGGTCTCTCAGACAGAATCTTCTGTCTGGGTCAGGGTCTGGCCACACTGTCCCTGAGCTCTCCTTCCAGGCATCCCAGCTGGGGGCAGAAGTGAACCCACAGAAACCCCCATCCACCCCGGACATTGAGGCTGCCCCTGGGAGCTGGCAGATCCTGAACTCTAATAAGGCCTGTCCTAGGCGTGGAGCTGGCTGGTAGCTTGAGGGTTTCAAGCCCTCTGGATCCCACCTACACAGGGATTCCCTGGAAACACCCGTCCCTCCTACTCCACACCCCAACCTGACCTCCTGAGGCAGTGGCTGCAGGGGCCCTGGGGGTTCAGCCCCAGCAGTGAGATGGGCCATGGGGCTCTGGAGCCCTGGGTCGTGTGGGGCTCAGGCCTCAGGGCAGATACCCTGGCCCTGGCCTTGGCAACAGCGCCCCTCTTGTTCCCTGGGGCATTGCTCTGCTGCTCGTCTCCTTTTTGCAGCCACCATTTATGTAGCGCCGACTATGTGCAGAGTCTGGGAAGGTGACACAGAGAAGAATAAGAAGAGGGAGTGGTCCTGCCCCAGGGGTGCGGGGCCAGCTGTGAGGCGTTGCAAAGCGCGAGGAGGGGTCCGCGGCTGGTCCGGGGGCCCATGCCTGCGCTTGGGGGACGTGCTGGACAGGGCACGTGGAACCAGGCCAGAGCTGACTTTGTTCTGGGAATGGGAAGAGTTTGTTATTTAGCTTGTTCCTTTCATCTATTTGCATTGCAGAAGTAATCCTTAAATCCAGCCCTTATCTAATCACTAGAAGAGTTACAGAGACAACCAAAGTGCTCTTTGATCCTTCCCCACATCCCAGTCATCTGGGAGCACCCAGGGAGTCACATGGGAAGGGCTGGGATCAGATCTGAGGGTCTAGCAGGGTGTGTCCCAGGGCAGAGCCCTTGCCAGGGGTGAGCAGTGTCCGGGGAGGGAAGGGCCCCAGGGACAGAGCACAGCTGGGCCCTGAGAAGCCTGGGAGGCTGAGGTGGGCAACATGGAGCTGGCTGGCTTCTGAGCAGCCCAGTACCTACCAGGCCCACCCACCCTCAGCCACTGCCAGGAAAACCTGCTCAGGCCCCACTCAGAGCCACTGTGGAAGTGGGAGCTCCACCAAACCTGAGCCCCCAAAGGTGTTTCTCCAGGATCCCCTGCCAGCCCCACCTCCCACAGCCTGAGCACAGACCCCGGGATGCCCCACAGGACCACCTGCTCCCACACAGCCCCGTCACATTCCCCACAGCCCTGTCGCACTCCCCACAGCCCTGTCACACTCCCCACAGCCCTGTTGCACTCCCCACAGACGTGTCAAAACTCCCCACAGCTCTGTCACACTCGCCACAGACCTGTTGCACTCCCCACAGCTCTGTCACACTCGCCACAGACCTGTCGCACTTCCCACAGCCCTGTCACACTCCCCACAGCCCTGTCACACTCCCCACAGCCCTGTCGCACTCCCCACATCCCTGTCACACTCCGCACAGCCCTGTCACACTCCGCACAGCCCTGTCAAAACTCCCCATGGCCCTTTCAAAACTCCCCACAGCCCTGTCGCACTCCCCACAGCCCTGTCACACTCGCCACAGACCTGTCGCACTCCCCACAGCCCTGTCCCACTCCCCACGGCCCTGTCAAACTCCCCATGGCCCTGTCACACTCCCCACGGCCCTGTCCCATTCCCCACGGCCCTGTCCCACTCCCCACGGCCTTGTCCCACTCCCCACGGCTCTGTCACACTCCCCACGGCCCTGTCAAACTCCCCAAGGCCCTGTCACACTCCCCACAGCCCTGTCACACTCCCCAAGGCCTTGTCACACTCCCCACGGCCCTGTCGCACTCCCCACATCCCGTGGCATCTGGCTGTACATGGAAGTGAGGAAGCTGCTGTCTCCCCCAAAGAACATTGCTCCCAGCCAGGGCTCAGCCCTGTGGGGCAGGACTCAGAGGCTCCTGGTTCAGAGACCAAGGCCCTTGTCACTTGCAGCGTGAACAGCAGGGAACTTTGCCCCCGAGTCCCACAACAGAGGTGGGGACCTTGTCACGGTGGGCCCAGGTGACAACACAGGGCCAGCGATTCTTCACCCGGCAGCAAACACTGCGGCAGACGACAAACATTGCAGCCCTTGGCAAACAAAAAGCACGCAGCAAACAGCGTGGTCAGCGAAAAGACCCTCCCCTCCCCGGGGATCAGACAGTGCAAGGCCATCCCCGGGATGACCTGCACCCACCCGGCTGCCTGTGTGACCAGCCACAGAACCCACTCTGCATTAGCACCCACGGCCGGGACAGGCAGGGAGCTGCGCCCGTGGCTTCCTGCATCTGCCGACACCACCCGAGGCTGCCAGGCCACAACATGAAGTCAGCTGTGCCAGGAAATCCCAAGCCTCACCCACACCTGGCCCCGGGCTGTCGCTGCATGCCAAGGGGTTGTGGGACCTCGCAGGCCTGCAGGCAGCATGGGTGGGCGCTGGGCTGGGGTCCGAGTGTGCCCCTACTCTAGGGCATGGCCGGTGGGCAGGGACAGGGGAAAGGGAAGGAGCAGGATGCCCACCTGGCTGTGGCTGTCTTACCCCATGGAATCCAGGCTCCAACTGACCTCACCATTCTGTGGGTTAATTTTCATTCTTAAAACCTTCATCTAAAGACCTTTGCTTCCTGGAATACAGGCCTGGGTTTTCCCAACAGTCGTGGGCACCCGGCCTGGCACGTGCTGCTCAGTGGAGGGACCTCACAGCCCGTTCTATGTGAGCCGTGCAGGAAAAGCTCCACGGACAAACTCACTCTCCGTGACAATCAGGAGGTTTCTTCTCCAACCACCAGAAGGAGCTGGGGGAGCTCATGAGGCCAGGAAGAGAACAGTCCTAATCCCATCCTTCCCCTCCTCAGCAGTGACCCCAGGGTCTGCTGTCCTGCCCCAACCCGCACTTCAAAGAAGGAAGGACACCTGCCTTCCCCTGCTACCTCACACCCCGAAGCATGGGGAGCATGGGGACCCTCGGCAGAGTCCTTTTGTAGTGAAGAATAACAGACTAGTGTAAAATAGCAGAAAAGAAGCTAATGGCCAAACACATCCAAGCTGGGGAAAACACCTGTTAAATATAATGACAGAATATGCTCTCATCAAAACCCAGGAAACTTTAAGAATACACTAAACCTCACAAAATGGGGGCGAAATACAATGATGACCACACGTATGAGAAATGGTCAATGGTAGAATTGAAAGAAATGCAAGGGAAATAAAAGGTAAGGGGTCCTTTCCGAGCAAAGTGGCAACGTCACAACAGCTCACAGTCAGGCTTGGCGGGACAAGAATGCTGGGCAGTGCTGGTTTGCAGGGAGGGGTCAACTTTTCTGGAAGCAGCCCAGCAAAGTGCCCCAGAGCCATCAATTATTCCTGTGCTTCGCAGCCACAGCCCACGAATGCAGGTGCAGCCACAGAAGCGCTGGCAGAGGGGAGGCTGAGAGTGGCGCTGGTTGAAGATTTCTCACAGGAAACAAAAGGCACAGCCTCCACGTGGCTCATGGCCATGAAAACCCTTGACTCAAACCATTCCACGTCGTGAGGAAGACGCGGGTCAGCTGCCCTAGTTGGGTGATGATGATGCTGTCAGGGAAAGCGTCGGTGCCTATGTGGGGAGAGTAGGGGAGTGAGAAACAAAAGCAAAGCGTGGTGGCTCTGTGGCTCCGGTGCCCCGGAGGCCATGGCTCACTTTTTCACAATGAACATGGGCTATTTTCATTTTTTAAAGTCTGCTAATGTTTCTAAGGAGACCATACAGAACCGAAAATTCTGAATAACCTTGTCTTCCATAAGGCAGACTTTTCATTTCTGTCATCTTTCCGGAAGGGCTGGACACAGAGACTGTGGGTCTGTGATGGAGGTGCCACCATCTCACCCCGAGTCCACGGCCCTCAGTCTCTGTGCTCCCCGAGCCGAAGGTGAGGAATCCATGCCTTATGGTTGGCGAGGGCTGCTGGGGCACCTGCCATCTCATCTGCATCCTGGGAAGCAGGAAGGAGCACAGAGGAAAACACAAGCCTGCTCTGGCCAGCTCAGTGTGCTCCTTCCAGAAACAGGTAAACACAAAATTACCCTGCGAAGCCGCCATTCCATTCCTAGGTCTATCCCCAAAAGAAATCAAAGCAGGGACTCAAATACTTGCACAGCCCTTACCACGACCTGGATGTAGTCAGTGCATCTGTTCCCAGCAAAACTCTTGTTGAAACGGGACCCCCAGTGTGGCAGCGTAGGGAGGTGGGGCCTGAGGGGAGGGAGACGTGTGGGTCGTGGGAGTGACTCCCTGGGGAGTCCGTGGTGCTGGGAGTGATTCTCCTCTTGTGATACAGGGTGAGTTCCCATGGGAATGGATTTGTTCCCATGAGTGGGGCTTGTTCTGAAGCCAAGACATCCCTGAGCTTTATCTCTCTTCCCGTGTCTGCTTCCCCTTTGACCTCCTCCAGCAGAAGCCAGGGCCATGCCATTGAACTTCTCAGCCAGCAGAACTGTGAGCTTGATGAATTACCCCATCACAGAGGTTCTTTTATGGCTACACAGAATGGACTCAGACACCCATGCTCACAGCCGTGCAGTCACAATAGCCCAAAGGTGGAAACAACCCAGCAGGTGAGGGGATCTGAAATGGGGTAGACAAACACATCGGGGTCTTACGGAGCCTGGAAAAGGAGTGTGCTCTGACGCCTGCAGCAACGCCACCAACCTTCACAGCCTCGTGCCGAGTGAAGCCAGCCAGTCACAATAGGACCAATGCTGTGACCCCACAGATGGAAGGCCCCCAGAGGAGTCAGATTCAAGAGGAAGATGGCAGAATGGTAGTCAGCAGGGCCAGTGACAGAGGCCGATGGGAGTGAGTGATTAGTCAGGACGGAGCTCCAGTTTCGCGCGATGAAAAGGTGCTGGAGCTGCATGGTGGCGACAGTGGCACAGCCACGTGCAGGTTCCCAATGCCACGGAACTGTGCACTTACCATGGGGATGGTGGGAACTCTCATGTACCCGCATTTGACCAGAGAGGAAGGAAGGAAGGGAGGGGGGAGGGAGGAGGGAGGGAGGTAGCAGAGAAGGAAGGAAGGAAGGGAAGGGGGAGGGAGGAGGCAAAGAAGGAGGGAAGAGGGAGGCAGGGAAGGGGGGAGGGAGGGAGCAGAGAAGGAAGGGAGGGAGGCAGGGAGGGAAGAAGGAAGGAAGGAAGTGAGGGAGGGAGGAAGGGAGAGAAGCAGGAAGGAAGGAAGGAAAGAAAGAAGGAAGGAAGGGAGGGAGGGAGGAGGAGGGAGGAGGAAGGGAGGGAAAGAGGGAGGGAGGGAAAGAGGGAGGGGGGGAGCAGAGAAGGAAGGAAGGAAGGGAAGGGGGAGGAAGGAGGCAGAGAAGGAGGGAGGAGGGAGGCAGGGAAGGAGGGGGAGGGAGGAGGGAGGGAGGGAGCAGAGAAGGAAGGGAGGGAGGCAGGGAGGGAAGAAGGAAGGAAGTGAGGGAGGGAAGAAGGAAGGAAGGAAGGAAGGACGGACCAGCCTGTTAGGCTGACTGACAGAGTACCCCCTGTCCTCCAATGCTGCCCACGGCAGGCATGTGGCAGTGGCTGACAGGGAGTGAGTCTGGAAGCGACCCTTGTCGGGGCAGCCTCCTTGGTCCTGTGATTCAGGACAGGGTGAAAGTCAGTGGCGGCCATTGGTGCCTCTGGCTGGGGTTCCTCACAGGGGCCCGCAAGGGGACAGCGAATGGAGCGTGGAGGGTGGAGGGCTCCTTCTCCGGACCGGAGCGATGGGTTCGGGAGCCATTCTGTGCCTGTCTTTGCTGCTGGGCTGAGGAGCTGGATGGCATGCTGGGAGTAGTGGGAGCTGCTGAGGAGTTTGGTCCTGGAGCGAAGAGGCTGAATCCGCATGTCTGGAGTCACCGTGGAGGGCACAGCTAGAGGGAGCAGCAGGGTGTCCCAGGGAGAAGACACCAGGGCTGGAATTAGAGGGACATCAAGGCTGATACTTAGAGGCATCCAATATATGGGGCCTGCCTGATGGGCTGCTCTCAGGTGGGATTTGGGGGGTGTGAGAGGGGTCAGTGCCCAAATGACCATGGGGTCCGTGGCCTGTATGCCCAGTCAGGTGACGACGCCATTCAGAAAGTAGATCTCATGGGGTGCCCGGCTGCTGAGTCTCAGGCCAGATCTGCAATGAGTGCGCTGCCCCAGGCGTGGAACACTCTGGTGCCATCGGGACCCAAGGCTGAGTGCACCCAGGAGCTGTGGGTCTGAAACAGCGGTCAGAGGTCACCGACATGTGAAGGAGGCCCCTGGAGTGTCAGAGGTCACCGACATGTGAAGGAGGCCCCTGGAGTGTGGGATACAGAACCCCCAGGTGTCCAGCTAGGCAGGAGGCTTTGCAGGACTGAGCAGGTGGGGAGGAAGGGCAGGGAGCGCGGCTGCCAGAGGAGAGAGGGCACTGGGGGTGGCTCGACCTGACGAGGCTGCTTGAAGGAGACACTCTTGGAAACTGACAGGGCTGCAGGCACTCCTGGGAGCAGGAGGAGGGTGGCCTGTCCTGGGCAGACCAGCCTCTCTGGGCTGTGTGGCCCCAGCTCCCTGAGCCCAGAGGGAGGTGAGGGTGAGAAGGCCTGGACCAGGCAGGACGCAGCCCCCAGGGCCCCTGCTGGGAAGAGGTCAGAACCTCCCAAGGACCCAGAAGGCCAGGTAACTGAGAACGGGGCTGCTCTCTGAATCTCCAGGGAGGACAAAGGCGGCCATGGCAGCAAGGGGACAGGGCAGAGGGGAAGGCGGGCAGGTGGATGTTGGAAGCCGCAGATTCCCATCCAGTATCCTAGAGGAGGAGACCCAGGGCTGTGTCCTAGGAGGCCCAGGAAGCCTGGTCAGCCTGGAGGCTGAGGGCGGGCCCGGGAGATCTGGTAAGGACATCAGTGTCTCCACGAAGAGCAGCAGGGTCTCAGCCCATGGCAGCCGCAGGCCCCATGACTGGGGCCGCAGCCTCCAGAGCCGCCACAGCAGCCCATTGTTCTGGGGGGTCAAAGGTGGAGGCTGTCAGAGGGGCAGTGCAGGGGGCTGCTGGGGTGAAGCCCCCTGTAGCAGCAGCACCCAGCCTGCTGTGGCTCTGCCCTCCTGGACCCCCTGTCCTCCTGGACCCCCTTCCCTCCTGGGCCCTCCTGGACCCCCTGCCCTCCTGGACCCCCTGCCCTCCAGGACCCTCTGCCCTCCTGGACCCCCTGCCCTCCTGGACCCCCTGCCCTCCAGGACCCTCTGCCCTCCGGGACCCCCTGCCCTCCAGGACCCTCTGCCCTCCGGGACCCCCTGCCCTCCAGGACCCCCTGTCCTCCTGGACCCCCTGCCCTCCTGGGCCCTCCTGGACCCTCTGCCCTCCTGGACCCCCTGCCCTCCTGGACCCCCTGCCCTCCAGGACCCCCTGTCCTCCTGGACCCCCTGCCCTCCTGGGCCCTCCTGGACCCTCTGCCCTCCTGGACCCTCTGCCCTCCTGGACCCCCTGCCCTCCTGGACCCCCTGCCCTCCAGGACCCCCTGTCCTCCTGGACCCCCTGCCCTCCTGGGCCCTCCTGGACCCCCTGCCCTCCTGGACCCCCTGTCCTCCTGGATCCTCTGCCCTCCCGGACCCTTTGCTGTCCTGGGTCCTCTGCCCTCCTGGACCCCCTGCCCTCCTGGACCCCCTGTCTGTGGCCCCTGCTCCCCTCCTCCTTCCCCGACACATGACTGGACCCCCCGATCTGCAGCCGGGGTCTGGGCACTGGGGGTCCTGTGGGCCTCTCGGTGTCTGGGGACAATCACAGGTTCCCGTGCCCACACCCAGCCTCTGCTTCCAGAACACACTAGAGGGTCCCGGCATCCTGATGAGTCCACTGTCCCCGCGATGGTTTTCAGGGATGGAGAAGGCTCCCTGTCCTCCGCTGGAACCCTGCAGCCGGGCTGACGGTACCCCCACCACCCACCCAGGGGCCCCCAGACCCTCCCCATCTCCACCGCCAACCCAGGCCCCGGCTGCGCACGCGGGGCCAGGCCGTGAGCTGCTGTCCCCGGATGGGGCCGCCCCGGGCTGGCCTGGCTCACTCCGTGTCACAGATATTCCCACAGAGACCCCAGCGAGACCTGCAGAACATTACAGCAGAATGAAGGAGAGCCAGAGGAAGAGGCAGATGTGCTGGCCTGTAAACAGTCTGATTTCCAATGTAAACCAGATTCAGGCCCACGACATCAGGTAAACATCTGCATCAGAGCCCCCGGCCCCCCACCGCCCGGGAGGCCCCGGGGTCCACACGGCCGACTCTGGGACCCGTCACAGTGACCGCCGAGACATTTCGTAATTAGGCAAAATTGATCCTTGCATTCCTTCCCTAAATCCCAAATCTCTGCAATTTTACTTCTTCTCAAAAATGAAAACATTTGGCAATTAGCTGATCCAAGTGAAAAAGGTAGAGAATGTGCTCTCAACTGGAAAATGCCAATTAAGGAAGCAGCTCTGACTTCCCACCCGCCCTGGCTAAGCTGGGAGCTTATCTTCCCCGAGAAGAATCTGCTGGGATAAGGGGGCTTGGGAAACACCGAGGGCAGGGCTGCCTCCTCACCTCCTCAGCTTCCTCTGAGAGCAGATTAGCCGTGGCCTTGTGCCAGCAGGGCCTGGGTGCCACACCGGGTGGCAGCGGGTGGCAGAGCCGGGCCCCGCTCCGGCACTGGGATTTGGGGTGGCGGGACCCAGTGGGGCACCCGCTTGTGGGCAGCACTGAGGGCGGTGACGTAGGCAGCGGGTGCCGGTGTCTGCCCCTCCATCTGGCCGGGCTCCCCACCCTGCTCCTGCAGCCCTGGACCTCAGGGCCCATTTGCGGTGCAAGGCGGCTCTTGGTCGGTCTCCACTCCTAAACATTTATGCGTTGAAAATGCCCATTTGTTTGTTTTCTTGTGTTCCATTTATGTGTTCTGTATCCTTTTTTACTTAATTTAAATAATTTTTAAATGTGAAATCGTTAAGTAACCTCAGACGCTCAAACTTTCTGTTCTCCACTCACCGAGTCCATGAGTTCTGTCTCCTTCTTCCCGTGGTTTCTGTTTGCAACAATAACGGAATACCTGCATGTCTAATTTTTTTTTTATTCAAAAGGCAGCATACAATGTATATTCTCTTTATCAAGCTCGTGATTTCTTTTAAAGATTTTATTTTGAAATCATTACAGATTCACAGGAAGTCTCAAAACTAGTACAGAGATTTCCACATGCCCCTCAACCAGTTTTCCCAACGGCTTCGTCTCCCTTAGCTGGAGTGCGTGTCTAAGCCAGGAAGCTGACCGTGCTACAGTGTGTGTATCTGGGTTTTTGCCATGTTGTAGGATGTGGGAATTTGTGTACACACCACCAGGAACAGGACACAGAGCTGTCCCACTGCCACGGCCATCTCCGGGGCTGCCTCATCCCAGAGACTCACTGCCCATGTCCCCGTTCCTTCCTCCTCACACCCTCTGGCCTTTTCCTATGGCTATAAATTTGTCATTTTGCAAATGTGATGTAAATGGAATGCGTGGGACCCTTTCAGATGAGCTCTTCACTCAGGAACATGCCCTTGAGACCATCTAAGCTGCTTCCTGTGTCAACAGTTAGTTCCTTTTTACTGATAAGTAGCCTCCCCTGGTAGGAAAGGACCTCTTTGTTTACCATTCACCTACTGAAGCTTTTGACTATTACAAATAGCGCTGCCATGAGCAATCACGTATAGGTGTTTGTGTGAACATAAATCTTTCTTTCTCTGGGACAAATGCCCAGGAGTGTGACTGCTGGGTCAAATGGTCAGAGTCTGTTTCGCTTTTTTAAGAAACTGTCAAACTCTTTTCCATGGTGGGTGCGCCATGTTACATTCCACACGCAGTGAATGTCATACCGTTTCTCCGAATCTCTGCCAGCATTTGGTCTTGTTATTATATTTTGCGTTAGCTGTTCTAATAGGTACGGAGAAATATTGGGTCATGGTCCCAGCCTGTGTTTCCCTGGGGCCACGCGGGTTGAAGGCCGTTTTGTGACTTCATCTGCCATCTCCACCTTGTCTCCATGATCCTTCTTTCATTGGATTATTTGGCCCTGTTCCGTTGAGTTTTGAGAGTTCTTCTTATATTCTAGATACGAGTCCTTTGTCAGACATGGGTTTTGCAAACATTTTCTCCCAGCCCACAGCTTATCTTTTCATCCATCCTAACAGGATCTTTCACGGCATAAAAGTTTTTAATTTCAATGAGATCTAATTCATTGATTTAAAATATATATGAATCATGCTTTTGATGTTATATCTAGGAAGTCCTTGCCAAGCCCCAGGTCCTGGACACTTTCTTCTATTCTAAAAGTGTTATTGTTTTTGATCCAATTTGAGTTAATTTCCTTTATTTTTACTTTTTTTTTTTTTTTGGGGGGGGACGGAGTCTTACTCTGTCTCCCAGGCTGGAGTTCAGTGGCGTGATCTTGGCTCACTGCGACCTCCAACCCCCAGGTTTAAATGATTCTCATGTCTCAGCCTCCCAAGTAGCTGGGATTACAGGTGCCTGCCACCACGCCTGGATAATTTTTGTTTATTAATGTATTTATTTATTTCGAGACGAGTCTCTCTCTGTTGCCCAGACTGGAGTGCAGTGGCATGATCTTGGCTCACTGCAACCTCTGCCTCCTGGGTTCAAGCGATTCTCCTGCCTCAGCCTCCCAAGTAGCTGGGATTACAGGTGCCTGCCACCACGCCCAGCTAATTTTTGTATTTTTCATAGAGACAGGGTTTCACCATGTTGGCCAGGCTGGTTTCGAACTCCCGATCTCAAGTGATCTGCCAGCCTCGGCCTCCCAAAGTGCTGGGATTACAGGCATGAGCCACTGTGCCCAGCCCCAGTTTGAGTTAATTTTCATATGAACGTGTAGGTCTACGGCCATTTTTGAACCCATGAGTCTGCTCTAGCATGGCTTGTTGGGAAAGCGGCTCTTCTGGCATTGACGGCTCTTGGTCCCTTGTGGGAGGCCAGGTGGCCGTGATCCTGGGGGTCTGCACGCCCCTTTACCTCCACTCTCTCTCTTCCCTGGGGTGACACTCTCTTTTTCAATTTTCTATTTTTTTAATTTTAATTAATTTTTTTTTTTTTAATTTTAGAGATGAGGTCTCACTATGTAGCCCAGGCAGGTCTAGAACTCTAGCCTCAAGAGATCCTCCTTCCTCAGGCTCCCAAAGTGCTAGGATTACATGCATGAGCTGCTGTGCCCACACCCACGGTGACACTCTTGATTACGGGAGCTTTTGAGTAACTCTTAACATTGAGGGGCACGATTCTTCCTTTCTTCTTCTTTTATCATTTAGCTATTCTAGTTCCTTTGCCCCTTTGTACACATTTTAGAATCAATTTATCTAATAAAAAATATTTTTGATATTTTGGTGTGTTGATTAATATGTATTCCTGGTATTTTTGATAAAAAATCTATCTAGATCAATTTAGGAAAAACTAAATTAAAATATAAAAGCACTCAATGTAATTTACTACATTAATATATTTATTGAGAAAAACTATATAGATGACACTCAAAACTATTCCCTAAAACTTAGCCCCTCTGTGAATTTTAAAGTTTTTCTTTTTCTAAACATTATTCCATAAAAAGTGTGAGAATTAATATTCATACGTTTAGTCCATTTTTCTACTGAGCTGCTATTGATTTGTATAATCAATTTGGATATCAGAGATATTAATTTTTATTGTTATATTTGTAAGAAACATTTTCTCTGAATCTGTACTATGTCATTTTTTTACTGTGATTTTCAATAAAGAAGTGTTTCCTTTTGAAACAGTGAAATCTCCCAGACACTCCGTTAACAATGCTTGTGTTTCGCGCCATGCTTTAAGGCCCCCCCAATATCGGGAATACATTCCCCACATGTCCTTCCAGGAATTTTGTACTTTTATTTTTTTGTGTGCATTTGGATTCCTCGTGGATGTGCTCCAGCTGAGATGGGACTGCCTAGCTGGGTGGTTGCTCTGTGTCTCAGCTGAGACGGAGATGGGACTGCCTTGCTGCAGGTGCGTGGTTCTGTTGTTACGTCCTCTGCAGCAGGCCCTGTCTCTTCCTGCTGGCTCAGACACCCCGTCCACGGGGTCCTGAGTTACACTGAGAAGGCTGCCAGGGCCCGGCTCCACTTCCTCCTTCAATTTATGTAATCCAGAAGCAAGGCAGTGCTGTTTTAATAACTGTAGCTTTATAGTCTGTTCTGATAGCTGTCTGGGAAATCACCACTCATTCTTCTTCCTTTATATTTTGCTTTTAAATTTTTAATGGCTATAAAAATTTAAAAAAATTATAAAGACATCCCCCCAAAATTTAATGGCTACACTTGCCTATACATTTTGATGAGAATTTTAGAGAAAACTTGGCAAGATAAAAGTAATTATTTATTTTAATTGGAATATAATTAAATCCATAGGTTGATTTTTAGAGACCTGAAGTTGTAAGTGTTCTCAATCAAGAAGCCTGTTATATCTCTCCATTTATTTACATCTTATGGGTAGGAGGCTTTTTTTTTTTTTTTTTTTGAGATGGGGTTTCACTCTCATTGCCCAGGCTGGAGTGCAATGGTGTAATCTTGGCACATTGCAACCTCCGCCTCCTGGGTTCAAGTGATTCCCCTGCCTCAGCCTCCCAAGCAGTTGGGATTATAGGCATGAGCCACCATGCCGAGCTAAGTTTTTGTATTTTTAGTAGAGACTGGGTTTCGCCATGTTGGCCAGGGTGGTTTCGAACTCTTGACCTCAAGTGACCTGGCCTCCTCAGCCTCCCAAAGTACTGGGATTACAGGTGTGAGCCACTGTGCCCGGCTGCCCATAGAATTCTATAATTTTAAAATTATAAATGGGAAATGTTGTCATGTGGTATTTTCTCTACATAGTGTCTAGAAAATCCGTTGATTTATAATGTTGTATCTTTACTCAGCTTTTGTTCTAGTTGTTTCATTTCTTCCTTTTAAATATTTTGAACTGTATTTAGTTTTTAGTGTGTCCCAATGCTATCATTCAAAACAATGTTTAATAAGACAGGTAGTAGCTGCTTCTCCTAATGTTTCTATGTGACTTTTAATATCACTTCCCGAGGGATATTCTTCAGAAGTTAGATATTAATAGCTTTTCAAGTTTTTCTTTTTTTCTAACATAAACGAATGCTGAACCATAGCAAGCTTTCGAACTTTGTTGAACTTTACCAGCTTTTGCAGCTAATACTTGAGTAGTCATAGGTTTCATCCTTTGTGAATTTCCAGAATCACATAAATAGACCCACTGCTCTTCCTGCCTCGCTAGAATAAACCATACTTGAGCTCAGTGTCTGGCACATGGCAGTTGCTCAATAGATATCTGTTGCGTAAAATGAACGAAGGGGCAAGAACATGGAGAAAACCACCTCTGTGGTTCAGGCATGAAGGGCCTGCTGCAATGGAGCTGTAGGGGCACTGAGGAAACCCTCCCTGGGGCCGGGCGTGGTGGCTCACACCTGTAATCCCAGCACTTTGGGAGGCCAAGGCGGGCAGATCACGAGGTCAGGAGTTCGAAACCAGCCTGGCCAACGTGGCAAAACCCCATCTCTAATAAAAATACAAAAAAATTAGCCCAGCGTGGTGATACACGCCTGTAGTCCCACCTACTTGGGAGGCTGAGACAGGAGGATGGCATGAACCCGGGAGGTGGAGCTTGCAGTGAGCTGAGATCACGCCACTGCACTCCATCCTGGGCGACAGAACAAAACTCTGTCTCAAAAAAAGAAAAAAGAAAATCCTCCCTGGTCCCCAGCCCCAGGCTTCAGCACCAGGTAAGGGTGAGCTTGCCTAGGAGGCCTCGCAGTCTCTGACGCCCTGAGGTAATGGCGGCCACACCTCACCCTGACCCGGCCCACCCATGGCCCAGGCTGGCACAGATCCCACATTCATACCCAGAAGAAGGGGATCCAAAGCCATCTGGGGCATAAAGGCTACCTGCCTCCGTCTCTATTATTCTCTGGACACAGTGTCTGAAATTCAATTAAAATTTATGAGATAGCAAGGAAGGAAGGTAAAATGAACCATGGCCATGTGATAAAACAATTAATAGAATCCAACTTTGAGATGACTCCAATGTTGACACTGTTGCACAGGGACTTTAAAATAACTCACAGGCCAGGTGCGGTGACTCACTCCTGCAATCCCAGCACTCTGGGAGGCCGAGGTGAGCGGATCATGAGGTCAGGAGTTCGAGACCAGCCTGGCCAACAAGGTGAAACCCCATCTCTACTAAAAATACAAAAATTAGCTGGGCATGGTGGCAGGTGCCTGTGGTCCCAGTTACTCGGGAGGCTGAGGCAGGAGAATCGCTCGAACCCGGGAGGCAGAGCTTGCAGTGAGCTGAGATTACATCACTGTACTCCAGCCTGGGTGACAGAGCTAGACTCCATCTCAAAAAAACAAATAAATAAATAAAAATAACTGTGATGGGTATGTTTAGTCAATATGCATTAACAGGTGAGGAATTTCAACAGATAAATGAAAACTGAAAAAAACTAGAACACTGTTTTTATTTATTTATTTTTGAGATGGAGTCCCACACTGTTGCCCAGGCTGGAGTGCAGTGGTGTGATCTTGGCTCACTGCAACCTCTGCCTCCCATGTTCGAGTGATTCTCCTGCCTCAGACTCCCCAGTACTGGGATTACAGGCGTGTGCCACCATGCCCAACTATGTTTTGTATTTTTAGTAGAGACGGGGTTTCACCATGTTGGTCAGGCTGGTCTTGAACTCCTGACCTCAGGTGATCCACCCACCTTGGCCTCCCAAAGTGCTGGGATTATAGTCCCAGCTACTTTGGAGGCTGAGGCAGGAGGATCTCTTGAGCCCAGGAGTTAGAGGCTGCAGTGAGCTGTGATCGAACCACTGCACTCCTGCCTGGGCAACAGAGCGTGGCCCTGTCTCAAAAAAAACAAAAGTCAAATGGAAATAGCCTCTCCACCACCGCCCCCCCACCAACAATATCAACATTCTTATCATAGGCTAATTAACACACTGGAAAGAACTAAGGAAAGAATCCATAAACTGGGAGACAGGTGAGTAGAAGTCATCCAAAATGAACACAAAGAGAAAAAAGACAAAGAGAGAGAACTAAATCAAGCATCCAAGACCTTTAAAACACTTCAACACACTCTAGTGAATGTCCACTTATGATCCTAAGAGGAAAGAAGAAATCGTGGAAGAAAAGCTACTTGGAGAGATGGTGGCTGAGAGTCTCCCAAAGCTAGTCAAAGACAAAAAAAATCACATATTTGAGAATTTTGGAGAGCCCTAAGCAGAATAAACACAAACACTCCTGTTAGAACTAATAAAAAATCCAGCAAAGGTGCAGAGTGTAGTATCAATACACAAAAATCCACTGAATTTCTATACATTAGTAATAGACAATCTGAAAATGAAATTAAGAAAATTTTAAATAATAATAGAATAAAATACAGAAGCATATACGTAACCAAAGAAGTATAAGAGTTAAATGCTAAAACCCCCAAATCCTGCTGAGAGGAATTAAAGAAAACATGAGCAACTGGGGAGGCCGCCCGTGTTCATGGGCCAGAGGCACAATCACGTTAACATGGCAATTTGTAAATCCAATATAATCCCTGTCAAAATCCAGCAGGCATTTGTGCAAAATTTGACAAATTGATCCTAATATTTACAAATGAAAATGAAAGGAAAGCCACCGATTAGGATAAAATATTGACAAATCATATAACTGATAAAAGATTGTATCCAGAATAGAAAAAAGAGCTAAAAACTTCATGACAAAAATAACTTAAAGGACCCGGTATGGATAAAACAATTTTTTAAAAGAACAAAATTTAGTAACAAAGACAGTCTCGTATTGGTTTCACTGTAGCCACACAGATCAATGAAACAGGATCAAAAGTCCAGGAAAAAAAAAAAACGTTTTATGTAGATTGTCAATTGATTTTTGACAAAGGCAACAAACAGAACTCAGTCGGGGGACAGACAGTCTTTTCCACAAATAGTGCTGGGACATCTGGATAGCCACATGAGAAAGAAGTTTGGAACCCTATCTCATGTCCTCCACAAGAATTAACACAAAGAGGGTTACATGAAAACCGGGAACTAAAACTTGTAGAAAACATGGGAGAAAGTCAAGGAAGCTGTGGGCCAGGTGCAATTCCTTAGCCATGACATCAAAAATAAGATCGTAAAATAAAACATTGATAGGGTGAACTTCATCGAATTTTTTTCAAATGTGTGCTTCAAAAGACACTAACAAGAAATCGGAAGATAAGTCGCAGATCTGGAGGATGTATTTGCAAACCATATCACTGATGAAAGATTGAACCCAGAATGGAAAAGGAACTAAAAAATTAATGACAAAAACAGCTCCGTTAGAAACAGGCAAAACATCTGCGTAGACATCCAATTTCATAATTTGTGAGAAATGTATTTAGTACCGTACACCTCTCAGTAACAGCTGCTTCACTCTGCCCCGTCCTTCTAATGTGCAATGTTTTTATTACTTTTTAATAATTATGATTATCTCTTTAACCCCAAATTTATGGTAATAGACTATTTGGTTTCCAAACATACAATATTTGCACTATCCCTTTTGTGACTTAATTTCTAATTTTTTTTTTGCCCTGTGGTTGGAAAATATATTTCTGTATGTTGATCATTTGACTGTCAGAAAGCTGCATTGTGGCTTAATGTTTTAATCCTTTTGTAGCCTTCTTTCAGTCCACATACAATTGGCTTGCATTTTCCCTTCCTGTTATTGTCAACTATTCTGTGTCTCTCGCGGGTAACATCGTTTAACTCCATCCATACTCTTGTGTCTTTTAATTGGTAAGTTTAATTTATTCGTTCTTCTGATAACCTGTTGTATCAGGATTCAAAAGTCCTGCTGTCTTAAATCAGGTTTTCTGTTTTGCTGTAGTCCTTTTTCTTTCTTATTATTTTCATGACCATGTTCCCTTCCCAGGGCTGGTCATTTGAGGAGCTGCCAGATTAAGACCTTTGTTGTCCCAGGACAAGCTCCGTTGCAGAGGCCGCAGAGGCCACCAAGAAGAGGGCTCCGTGCGGAGAGTGCATCCTGATCCCCGGGACCAGGCCAGGTGCGAGGCGTGCCCTGGCTGAAACTCAGTGCCTTGGTATTTTTGGAACCTACTTGGGGAAGAAAAATCTGGAAACCCTGTCCTCCCAGTACTGAGCGTTTTCTGTCTCGGAAGAGGTGGTAGTTGCAGTTCACTTCGGAGCCGCCTGCTGTTTTCACTTTGGGGGACTCTGGAGTTTTAGTTGCACAAACAAGGAATTGCCTGCATGTTCCCTGGATGCAAATGTCTCAGGAGGGGAATGTGTGTGTGTGTGTGTGTGTCCTGTCGTACGTGGGTGCTCCCCCCTGCCCTCCTCTCAATCCTCATCAGTGCCTGACGAGCTCTGGGCAGCACACCGAGGGATCCAGGCTGGTGCCTTGGGGCTGAGACTCAGGAAGATCATGTCTCCTCCCTCCCACTGAGGTCTTTGCCCAGGACCTCACTTCCTAGACGAGGAGCAGCCTCTTTCCAGGACAACCCAGAGTGGAAAGGTCCTCCTTGGGACAATTACTCCAGAACTCAGGCGGTGGGTTTCACTCTGTCCAGGTGGCAGCTGCCTGTCCAGCTGATGAACACCCCACAGCGTGCAGAGGCCGTGCTATCCCGTGGCTGCTCTGCACACATGATTTCAGAAAATCCATAAAATTGATTAATCTTTCCCCTGTCTAATCACTAAAGAGAGAGACTGCACAAATTAGCAAGATTGGGAAAGAAGGAGATTCTATAAATATGTAAAAGGATGAAAGGGACTATTCAGAACATTCAGGTCAATAAATCTGACAACTCAGATGTGATGGATACATTTTTTTGAAAGACACGAATTATTAAAGTCACTAAAAAAATAGATAAACCAAAGAGCCCTGTATTTGTTAAGAAAATTAAACTTGTAGTTCAAAAACCTTCCGACAAAGGAAATGACAGGTCAAATTGTTTCACTGGTAAATTTCACCCAGCAGTCAACAAATAGAGAATCCTGACTCTGTACAACTTTTTCCAGGAAACCGAAGACCAGAGAACATTTCCTAACACATTCTACGAGGCTTATCCTGATACCAAAACCAAACAAAGATATCACAAGAGAACTACAGGCCAATACCCCTCATGAACATAGAGGCAAACATTTAGCAAACTGGATACAGTAATATGTACAATAATAATACATGATGACAACGTGGAGTTTATCCCAGTAACGCAAGATCAACTGAATATTTGAAAGATCAGTGCATTTCACCACATTCACAAGCTAAAAAAGAAAAGCCATATGATCATCTCCATAGACACAGAAAAAAATCTGATATCCGTTATGCATTTATAATAAAAACTCAAGCCAAATGAGAGCACAAGGGAATGTTCCCAGTCTGATAAAGGGGCGTCTCCGAAGCAGATGCAGCAGGCATCTTGCTTCCTAGCAGAAGATTGCCCGCTTTCCCCCAAGAGAAGGAACCAGCAGCAGTGCCTACTCAAAGCGTCTCTATTCTAGTTGGTGCAATGAGGCACGGAAAGGAAAACAAAACAAAACAAAACATAGATTGCAGAGGAAGAAGTAAGACAGGGTCATGGCCATCCCTGTAGAAAATCTAACAGAATCTTCTAGAAAGCTACTAGAACTAATGAGTGACTTAAGCAAAATAGTAGGCTATAAGATCAGTATACAAAATCAGTAGTCAGTAATAAAGGGATAATTAACCCCATTTAAAAAATGATAGACATGTCTCCAAAGAAGAGATACAAATGGCAAATAGCACAGGAAAAGGTGTGGCATGTCACTACTCATTAGGGAAGCACAAAACACACTCACAGTGAGGCATCATTCCACACTGTCTCTGGAACAGCGTCAGTGAGGCCGATAATCCGTGTTAGTGAGGACGTGGATAAGTTCGAACACTCCTATGTTGTTGGCGGGAACACAACATGATTTAATCGCCTTGGAGAACAGTTTGGCAGTTCCTCAAAATGTTAAACATAGATGTATCCTATGATTTAGCAATTCTACTCCACCCAAGAAAAATGAAAACGTGTCCACACAAAAACATGTGCACAAATGTCCACCATGGCATTGTTCTAATAGCCACATGGAGGGAGCAGCCCATGTGTCCCAGCACCAATAAATGGTTTCACAAAACGCAGACTAGCCACACAATGGGGTATTTCTCAGCTATAAAAAGAAATGAAGTTCTGGTCACCATGACGTGCATGAACCTTGAAACCTTGCGCTAAGTGAAAGAGGCCAGACACAGAAGGATGAACATAGCAGAACCCGATTTGTATTCAGCAGAGGCAAAGCCGCAGAGAGGGAGGAGAGATCAGTGGTGGCCAAGGCCAGCGGAGAAGCTCAGCGGGAGGAGTAGGGAGTGACTGCTGATGGGTATGGCTTCTTTGAGGTGATAAAAATGTTCTAGAATTACATTGTGATGGTGGTTAGAGCATGGTGACGGCTGGACAACTCTGCGAATATATGAAAAACCACCGAATTGTGTACTTGAAGTGGGTGAAGTGTGTGATATGAGTTTTATCTTCATGAGGCCACTAAAAATCAATTGCATTTCTGTATTACAGCAGAAATTGAACTCAAATGCCATTTAAAATTACAGAGAGAACATGAATCCTTACGAATAAATCTCACAAAAGATGTACGAGATATGCTAAGAGCACGGCTGGGAGAAAGTCAAGGTGAATGAAATAAATGGAGGTGCGCACCACGTTCACGGGTCAAACTCTTGATATTGACGGGATGCCACGTCTTCCCAAATGGGTTAATGAATTCAGTACCATTGCAATCAGAATCCCAGAAGCGCTTCTTTTCTCTTAAGAGAAATTCCCATGTTGATTATAAAAAATATAAGGACATGCAGAGGACCTAGAATAACCAAAAGAATCTTGAAAAAGAGAAAACAGTTGGAGGACCAAAGATCTGTGATTTCAAGACTCGCCGTGAGGCTACAGTCATGGAGACAGAAGGGGATTGGTGTCAAGAGAGACAAACGGGTCAGCAGAACAAAATATACAGTATGAGGAGGGGATTTTAAACGACGCAACCGCTTTGAAAAACAGTTTGGTGGGTTCTTAAACGGTGAGGTCCACGCTTTCCATATGACCAATTCTACACCTAGGTATTTAGCAAGAGAAATGAAAGCATTTGCCCACGAACGCTCACAGCAGCTATGGGCGAAGTCTCCCGGGTTTGCTTCTGGATAGGATGAAGGAACTTAGCAAGTCCTCTCTGTCTTTCTCTCTGTTTCTCTCTTTCTCTCTGTCTGCCTCTCTCGACAAGCCTAGCTTTCCAGCTGACTGTCTTGTTGCAAGATCCTATTTTGAATATTAAAAAATGAATGTCAGCTCTCTTATGATGATTAATTTTATGTGTCAATTTGGAAAGTGTATTTAGAGGACATTAACTTCATTTATTTATTTTTTTTGAGACGGAGTCTGGCTCTGTTCCCCAGGCTGGAGTGCAGTGGTGTGATCTCGGCTCACTGCAGCCTCCACCTCTACCTTCTGGGTTCAACCGATTCTCCTGCCTCAGCCTCCCGAGTAGCTGGTATCACAGGTGTGTGCCACCATGCCCGGCTAATTTTTTGTATTTTTAGTAGAGACGGGATTTCCCCATGTTGGCCAGGCTGGTCTCAAACTCCTGACCTCAGGTGACCCGCCTGCCTCGGCCTCCCAAAGTGTTGGGATTACAGGCATGAGCCACTGCGCCCAGCCTGAGGTTAACTTTTAAATGGATGAACTTTGGGTGAAGCATGTTGCCTTCTGTAATGTGGGTGGCCTCTTCCGATCAGTTAAAGTCTTGAATACAGCAGAAAGCCAGCCTTCCTGAGCAAGAGAGATTCTCCAGCGGACGGCCTTGGGACTTCATCCGCTCCACGGACTCTGCTGGGTCTGCAGCTGGCCAACCCACACTGCCTGCACTGCCCACACTGCCCACACTACCCACACTACCTACACTATCCACACTACCCACACCACCCACTCTATCCACACTACCCACACTACCCACACTGCCCACATTACCCACACTGCCCACACTATCCACACTACCCACACTATCCACACTACCCACACTGCCCGCACTGCCCACGTTACCCACACTGCCCACACTATCCACGCTACCCACAGTACCCACACCACCCACACTATCCACACTACCCACACTACCCACACTATCCACACTACCCACACTACCCACACTGCCCATGTTACCCACACTACCCACACCATCCACACTGCCCACACCACCCACACTACCCACACTGCCCACACTATCCACACTACCCACACTGCCCACACTACCCACACTATCCACACTACCCACACTACCCACACTATCCACACTACCCACACTACCCACACTACCCACACTATCCACACTATCCACACTACCCACACTGCCCACACTACCCACACTGCCCACACTACCCACACTATCCACATTACCCACACTACCCACACTGCCCACACTACCCACACTGCCCACACTACCCACACTGCCCACACTACCCACACTGCCCACACTGCAGATGCTGGACTTGCAGCCTCCATTACCCCATGAGTCCCCGCCTTATAATAAATCTCCTTCTCACTTTATGCACCCCCCTACCCCCAGTTCTGTTTCTCTGGAGACCCCGACTCAGCTACTGTGATCCCAGGGAAAGGGAGCCTCAGAGAAAGGAACCCTGTGTCCACCGGGCTTTCTCTCCAGGGATTTGCTGACACCTCCACTGTGCATGGCTGGGGTGAGAAGCCAGGCAGAAAACAGCTGCTTCGAGGCCAGAATTACAGGTAAAGAGTTCAGCATCCTCCCCTTTGTGGGGGAACTGTGGAGCACGAGGCCTTCCAACGAGAGGCCCTGGCGTCAGCACAGACCACGAGAGGGCTGGGCTCAGGATCAGCGCCACTGAAGGACCCTGCCTGCATGGAGGCGCGTGATCCAATGTTCTTTCCTTGCTGGCAGCAGAAAATGTTACTGGCTCCGAAGGAAGATGACAACATCCTGCCTCTTTGCTGAAGTACGTGCACAGCATCCAATGCACCCAGGACCTCTCAGGGCGCCAGACCCTGGCTCTGTGCTTCGGTTGCGTGACTCGGGCAAGCTTCTCATTTCTCCCGCCTTAGTCTCCTCTCACCTCACAGGGCTGTCATGAGGCATGCTGGGCACATGCAGCTCACAGAGAAGGGCTGGCTTCCTCCTTGCACCCTCGCTTCCCTCCTTCCTCTCTCCAGCAGGCAGGCTGATTGTGGAGATGTCTCCTGGGCAGCATGCGTCAGCAGGGATTTCATGGGGACGGTGAGAATTAGCATCCACTCTTGCGGGCGTCAAGTCACTGAAGGACAAATCCCCGGAGGCAGAGGAGGCTGTCACCCTTTCCCCAGGACTCCACATCTGTGGCTGCTGGTCCCCCAAAACCCTGAGAGTTAATAATCCATGCCTGACCTAGGGCAATGGAACGAGGTCTTATCAGGAAAAGCAGGCAGGTCCTCTGCCTTCCTAAAAATTAATGTTTTATCATCAGACTATGAACATGATAATTTTTAAATCTCGATGCTGGAGATCACAGGAAAACATTCTCTCAGGGGCAACATGGAAATCGCTGCTTTGCACAGGGTGACCCAGCCCACACTGTCAATCTGGTGAACTCCCTCACTCTACAAAGCCCACCTCAAATCCCCCCTGCTCTCTGCACAGAAAGCCGCAAATTGTTTCCTGCAATAAAGAGCCTGACTCCGTTTTTATGATGTTTGACGGCTCACTGCTTTGACACCTCACCCATCCCTCTTCCCGTGTGCCCCACAGCAGGGCAGGTGTCTTTGGTGCCAGTGAGAGGCTCAAGCCCTGCAGGCTCCTGCCCATGTGAGGCCATCACCCCACCCCCGAGGCATAAGAAGAGCCCCACGCCAGCTCCCTTCCTGAAGCCACCGTGCACCCCGTGAAAGCCCAGCTAGGTAAGTACCAGACCCTTTCATCTCGTCCCGGTGTGTGGGGGCGTCTTCAGGGTTGACGGAGGAACCACATTTGGGTGGGGTCCCTCCTCTTTTTCCAGAGTGACCACAGCACTCCACTATTTCTTCTTTTCTTTCTTATTTATTTATTTATTTATTTATTTTTTTGAGATGGAGTCTCAGTCTGTTGCCCAGGCTGGAGTTCAGTGGTGCTATCTCTACTCACTGCAGCCTCTGCCTCCTGGGCTCAAGTGATCCTCCCACGTCAGCCTCCCGAGTAGCTGGGACTACAGGCACACGCCACCACACCCGGCTAATTTCTGTGTTTTCAGTAGAGATGGGGTTTCACCATGTTGCCCAGGCTGGTCTCGAACTCCTGACCTCAAGTGATCCATCCGCCTCGGCCTCCCAAAGTGCTGGGATTACAGGCGTGAGCCGCCGCGCCCGGCCAGCACTCTCCAATTTCTGATCCAACTGCATTGTCATACAGAAATCACACCTTGATCGTGTTTACAGACTCATTTCTACGCATAGATACATGTCTCTGATTCCATGCACTGCAACGGTCATTGCATTTAAAAAAGAGGCAAACGCCAAGTCTCCCAGCGCCTTGGAAGACTCAGCCTCTGGGGGCTCCATGGTTTCTGCTTGAAAGGCCGATGGCTGCTTTGCAGAGAACCAGTCCTGAGACTCATACCTTTCTATTCCGATGAGAGAACATTTCTGCACAAGAACCTAGGTCAGGGTTCATGTGTCTGTCCCTTGCGTTCTGCAAAGGACCGGATCATAAATGGTGCAGCTCTGGGGGCCACCCGGGCCCTATGGAAGGAACTTGTCCCTGCCGTCGTGGGGGATGCAGCTGCACATGGCCTGTGGACGTGCTCCAGGAAGGCGCCTGCGGGGGTGGCTGTGAACTCCCGCTGTCCCCAGCACATTCCCTGTTGACACATCCTGGCTGGGAGATGTCTCCACAATCAGCCTGCGTGCTCCGAAGTGAGGGGGAGAGGGGAAGGAGGGAGGTGAGGGGGCAAGGAGGAAGCCATCACTTCTCTATGAGCTGCGTGTGCCCAGCAGGCCTTGTGACAGCGCTGTGAGGTCGTGCACGTGAGAAGAGACTGAGGCGGGAGAAATGAGAAATAAAAACTGAACATGAGTTCAATTCATCTTGCGTTTCCTTCAGGACAAAATGTGAATTTCATGTCAGTAGTTTGTGCAACCAAGTCCTCTTTGTCCTGTGACTTTTATTCAGGCACTGAACAGTGTAAACTGATTCACACCTTCTGGGCTGCACCACCACAGGGGCCAGCAGGCCTGGGTCCCCCCACCCACCTGGAGTGAGGGGTGCAGTTAGGCCGGCCGGGCATGGTCCCTGCAATCAAGTCTCTAGAGCGGGGGTGACGGCCACGGGGCCTGAAAAGCGGTTCCATAGTGTCTGCAGCTTCTGAGCACTGAGGGATGAGCCCACACACGCATCACAAAACAGCCACAGTGACCTGACCCACACTGTCCAGACGATGGGGCCACATAGGATTCCCACAGTGGGAGATGCTGACCTGGACAAGAGAGGGCAAGGGACAGAAGCTCCCAAGACCCAAGGTAGGGCCCTGCGGGCAAAATGGCCAAGAGCCGCCTTGCACCGCAAATGGGCCCTGAGGTCCAGGGCTGCAGGAGCAGGGTGGGGAGCCCGGCCAGATGGAGGGGCAGACACCGGCACCCGCTGCCTACGTCACCGCCCTCAGTGCCGCCCACAAGCGGGTGCCCCACTGGGTCCCGCCACCCCAAATCCCAGTACCAGAGCCGGGCCCGGCTCTGCCACCCCTGCCACCCTGTGTGGCACCCAGGCCCTGCTGGCACAAGGCCACGGCTAATCTGCTCTCAGAGGAAGCTGAGGAGGCAGCCCTGCCCTCGGTGTTTCCCAAGCCCCCTTATCCCAGCAGATTCTTCTCGGGGAAGATAAGCTCCCAGCTTAGCCAGGGCGGGTGGGAAGTCAGAGCTGCTTCCTTAATTGGCATTTTCCAGTTGAGAGCACATTCTCTACCTTTTTCACTTGGATCAGCTAATTGCCAAATGTTTTCATTTTTGAGAAGAAGTAAAATTGCAGAGATTTGGGATTTAGGGAAGGAATGCAAGGATCAATTTTGCCTAATTACGAAATGTCTCGGCGGTCACTGTGACGGGTCCCAGAGTCGGCCGTGTGGACCCCGGGGCCTCCCGGGCGGTGGGGGGCCGGGGGCTCTGATGCAGATGTTTACCTGATGTCGTGGGCCTGAATCTGGTTTACATTGGAAATCAGACTGTTTACAGGCCAGCACATCTGCCTCTTCCTCTGGCTCTCCTTCATTCTGCTGTAATGTTCTGCAGGTCTCGCTGGGGTCTCTGTGGGAATATCTGTGACACGGAGTGAGCCAGGCCAGCCCGGGGCGGCCCCATCCGGGGACAGCAGCTCACGGCCTGGCCCCGCGTGCGCAGCCGGGGCCTGGGTTGGCGGTGGAGATGGGGAGGGTCTGGGGCCCCTGGGTGGGTGGTGGGGGTACCGTCAGCCCGGCTGCAGGGTTCCAGCGGAGGACAGGGAGCCTTCTCCATCCCTGAAAACCATCGCGGGGACAGTGGACTCATCAGGATGCCGGGACCCTCTAGTGTGTTCTGGAAGCAGAGGCTGGGTGTGGGCACGGGAACCTGTGATTGTCCCCAGACACCGAGAGGTCCACAGGACCCCCAGTGCCCAGACCCCGGCTGCAGATCGGGGGGTCCAGTCATGTGTCGGGGAAGGAGGAGAGGAGCAGGGGCCACAGACAGGGGGTCCAGGAGGGCAGGGGGTCCTGGAGGGCAGGGGGTCTAGGAGGGCAGAGGGTCCAGGAGGACAGGGGGTCCAGGAGGGCAGGGGGTCCAGGAGGGCAGAGCCACAGCAGGCTGGGTGCTGCTGCTACAGGGGGCTTCACCCCAGCAGCCCCCTGCACTGCCCCTCTGACAGCCTCCACCTTTGACCCCCCAGAACAACGGGCTGCTGTGGCGGCTCTGGAGGCTGCGGCCCCAGTCATGGGGCCTGCGGCTGCCATGGGCTGAGACCCTGCTGCTCTTCGTGGAGACACTGATGTCCTTACCAGATCTCCCGGGCCCGCCCTCAGCCTCCAGGCTGACCAGGCTTCCTGGGCCTCCTAGGACACAGCCCTGGGTCTCCTCCTCTAGGATACTGGATGGGAATCTGCGGCTTCCAACATCCACCTGCCGGCCTTTCCCTCTGCCCTGTCCCCTTGCTGCCATGGCCGCCTTTGTCCTCCCTGGAGATTCAGAGAGCAGCCCCGTTCTCAGTTACCTGGCCTTCTGGGTCCTTGGGAGGTTCTGACCTCTTCCCAGCAGGGGCCCTGGGGGCTGCGTCCTGCCTGGTCCAGGCCTTCTCACCCTCACCTCCCTCTGGGCTCAGGGAGCTGGGGCCACACAGCCCAAAGAGGCTGGTCTGCCCGGGACAGGCCACCCTCCTCCTACCAGTGCCCTCCCTCCTCCGGCAGCCACGCTACCTGCCCTTCCTCCCCACCTGCAAAGCCTCCTGCCAAGCCTGACACCTGGGGATTCTGTCTCCCACACTCCAGGGGCCTCCTCCACATGTCAGTGACCTCTGACCGCTGTTTCAGACCCACAGCTCTTGGGTGCACTCAGCCTTGGGTCCCGATGGCACCAGAGTGTTCCACGCCTGGGGCAGCACACTCACTGCAGATCTGGCCTGAGACTCAGCAGCCGGGCACCCCATGAGATCTACTTTCTGAATGGCGTCGTCACCTGACTGGGCATACAGGCCACGGACCCCATGGTCATTTGGGCACTGACCCCTCTCACACCCCCCAAATCCCACCTGAGAGCAGCCCATCAGGCAGGCCCCATATATTGGATGCCTCTAAGTATCAGCCTTGATGTCCCTCTAATTCCAGCCCTGGTGTCTTCTCCCTGGGACACCCTGCTGCTCCCTCTAGCTGTGCCCTCCACGGTGACTCCAGACATGCGGATTCAGCCTCTTCGCTCCAGGACCAAACTCCTCAGCAGCTCCCACTACTCCCAGCATGCCATCCAGCTCCTCAGCCCAGCAGCAAAGACAGGCACAGAATGGCTCCCGAACCCATCGCTCCGGTCTGGAGAAGGAGCCCTCCACCCTCCACGCTCCATTCGCTGTCCCCTTGCGGGCCCCTGTGAGGAACCCCGGCCAGAGGCACCAATGGCCGCCACTGACTTTCACCCTGTCTTGAATCACAGGACCAAGGAGGCTGCCCCGACAAGGGTCGCTTCCAGACTCACTCCCTGTCAGCCACTGCCACATGCCTGCCGTGGGCAGCATTGGAGGACAGGGGGTACTCTGTCAGTCAGCCTAACAGGCTGGTCCGTCCTTCCTTCCTTCTTCCCTCCCTCCATCCCTCTCTCCCTTCCTCCCTCCCTCACTTCCTTCCTTCTTCCCTCCCTGCCTCCTCCCTCCTCCCTCCCCCTTCCCTTCCTTCCTTCCTTCTCTGCTACCTCCCTCCCTCCTCCCTCCCCCCTCCCTTCCTTCCTTCCTCTCTGGTCAAATGCGGGTACATGAGAGTTCCCACCATCCCCATGGTAAGTGCACAGTTCCGTGGCATTGGGAACCTGCACGTGGCTGTGCCACTGTCGCCACCATGCAGCTCCAGCACCTTTTCATCGCGCGAAACTGGAGCTCCGTCCTGACTAATCACTCACTCCCATCGGCCTCTGTCACTGGCCCTGCTGACTGCCATTCTGCCATCTTCCTCTTGAATCTGACTCCTCTGGGGGCCTTCCATCTGTGGGGTCACAGCATTGGTCCTATTGTGACTGGCTGGCTTCACTCGGCACGAGGCTGTGAAGGTTGGTGGCGTTGCTGCAGGCGTCAGAGCACACTCCTTTTCCAGGCTCCGTAAGACCCCGATGTGTTTGTCTACCCCATTTCAGATCCCCTCACCTGCTGGGTTGTTTCCACCTTTGGGCTATTGTGACTGCACGGCTGTGAGCATGGGTGTCTGAGTCCATTCTGTGTAGCCATAAAAGAACCTCTGTGATGGGGTAATTCATCAAGCTCACAGTTCTGCTGGCTGAGAAGTTCAATGGCATGGCCCTGGCTTCTGCTGGAGGAGGTCAAAGGGGAAGCAGACACGGGAAGAGAGATAAAGCTCAGGGATGTCTTGGCTTCAGAACAAGCCCCACTCATGGGAACAAATCCATTCCCATGGGAACTCACCCTGTATCACAAGAGGAGAATCACTCCCAGCACCACGGACTCCCCAGGGAGTCACTCCCACGACCCACACGTCTCCCTCCCCTCAGGCCCCACCTCCCTACGCTGCCACACTGGGGGTCCCGTTTCAACAAGAGTTTTGCTGGGAACAGATGCACTGACTACATCCAGGTCGTGGCAAGGGCTGTGCAAGTATTTGAGTCCCTGCTTTGATTTCTTTTGGGGATAGACCTAGGAATGGAATGGCGGCTTCGCAGGGTAATTTTGTGTTTACCTGTTTCTGGAAGGAGCACACTGAGCTGGCCAGAGCAGGCTTGTGTTTTCCTCTGTGCTCCTTCCTGCTTCCCAGGATGCAGATGAGATGGCAGGTGCCCCAGCAGCCCTCGCCAACCATAAGGCATGGATTCCTCACCTTCGGCTCGGGGAGCACAGAGACTGAGGGCCGTGGACTCGGGGTGAGATGGTGGCGCCTCCATCACAGACCCACAGACTCTGTGTCCAGCCCTTCCGGAAAGGTGACAGAAATGAAAAGTCTGCCTTATGGAAGACAAGGTTATTCAGAATTTTCGGTTCTGTATGGTCTCCTTAGAAACATTAGTAGACTTTAAAAAATGAAAATAGCCCATGTTCATTGTGAAAAAGTGAGCCGTGGCCTCCGGGGCACTGGAGCCACAGAGCCACCACGCTTTGCTTTGTTTCTCACTCCCCTACTCTCCCCACATAGGCACAGACGCTTTCCCTGACAGCATCATCATCACCCAACTAGGGCAGCTGACCCGCGTCTTCCTCACGACGTGGAAAGTTTTGAGTCAAGGGTTTTCATGGCCATGAGCCACGTGGAGGCTGTGCCTTTTGTTTCCTGTGAGAAATCTTCAACCAGCGCCACTCTCAGCCTCCCCTCTGCCAGCGCTTCTGTGGCTGCACCTGCATTCGTGGGCTGTGGCTGCGAAGCACAGGAATAATTGATGGCTCGTGGGGCACTTTGCTGGGCTGCTTCCAGAAAAGTTGACCCCTCCCTGCAAACCAGCACTGCCCAGCATTCTTGTCCCGCCAAGACTGACTGCGAGCTGTTGTGGCGTTGCCACTTTGCTTGGAAAGGACCCCTTATCTTTCATTTCCCTTGCATTTCTTTCAATTCTACCATTGACCATTTCTCATACGTGTGGTCATCATTGTATTTCGCCCCCATTTTGTGAGGTTTAGTGTATTCTTAAAGTTTCCTGGGTTTTGATGAGAGCATATTCTGTCATTATATTTAACAGGTGTTTTCCCCAGCTTGGATGTGTTTGGCCATTAGCTTCTTTTCTGCTATTTTACACTAGTCTGTTATTCTTCACTACAAAAGGACTCTGCCAAGGGTCCCCATGCTCCCCATGCTTCGGGGTGTGAGGTAGCAGGGGAAGGCAGGTGTCCTTCCTTCTTTGAAGTGTGGGTTGGGGCAGGACAGCAGACCCTGGGGTCACTGCTGAGGAGGGGAAGGATGGGATTAGGACTGTTCTCTTCCTGGCCTCACGAGCTCCCCCAGCTCCTTCTTGTGGTTGGAGAAGAAACCTCCTGATTGTCACGGAGAGTGAGTTTGTCCGTGGAGCTTTTCCTGCACAGCTCACATAGAACGGGCTGTGAGGTCCCTCCACTGAGCAGCACGTGCCAGGCCGGGTGCCCACGACTGTTGGGAAAACCCAGGCCTGTGTTCCAGGAAGCAAAGGTCTTTAGATGAAGGTTTTAAGAATGAAAATTAACCCACAGAATGGTGAGGTCAGTTGGAGCCTGGATTCCATGGGGTAAGGCAGCCACAGCCAGGTGGGCAACCCCTTGGCATGCAGCAACAGCCCGGGGCCAGGTGTGGGCGAGGCTTGGGATTTCCTGGCACAGCTGACTTCATGTTGTGGCCTGGCAGCCTCGGGTGGTGTCGGCAGATGCAGGAAGCCACGGGCGCAGCACCCTGCCTGTCCTGGCCGTGGGTGCTAATGCAGAGTGGGTTCTGTGGCTGGTCACACAGGCAGCCGGGTGGGTGCAGGTCATCCCGGGGATGGCCTTGCACTGTCTGATCCCCGGGGAGGGGAGGGTCTTTTCGCTGACCACGCTGTTTGCTGCGTGCTTTTTGTTTGCCAAGGGCTGCAATGTTTGTCGTCTGCTGCAGTGTTTGCTGCCGGGTGAAGAATCGCTGGCCCTGTGTTGTCACACCTGGGCCCACCGTGACAAGGTCCCCACCTCTGTTGTGGGACTCGGGGGCAAAGTTCCCTGCTGTTCACGCTGCAAGTGACAAGGGCCCTGGTCTCTGAACCAGGAGCCTCTGAGTCCTGCCCCACAGGGCTGAGCCCTGGCTGGGAGCAATGTTCTTTGGGGGAGACAGCAGCTTCCTCACTTCCATGTACAGCCAGATGCCACGGGATGTGGGGAGTGCGACAGGGCTGTAGGGAGTGGGACAGGGCCGTGGGGAGTGTGACAGGGCCGTGGGGAGTGTGACAGGGCCTTGGGGAGTTTGACAGGGCCGTGGGGAGTGGGACAGGGCCGTGGGGAGTGTGACAGGGCCGTGGGGAGTGTGACAGGGCCGTGGGGAGTGGGACAGGGCCGTGGAGAGTGGGACAGGGCCGTGGGGAGTATGACAGGGCCGTGGGGAGTGGGACAGGGCCGTGGGGAGTGGGACAGGGCCGTGGGGAGTGGGACAGGGCCGTGGGGAGTGGGACAGGGCCGTGGGGAGTGTGACAGGGCCGTGGGGAGTGGGACAGGGCCGTGGGGAGTGTGACAGGGCCGTGGGGAGTGGGACAGGGCCGTGGGGAGTGGGACAGGGCCGTGGGGAGTGTGACAGGGCCGTGGGGAGTGGGACAGGGCCGTGGGGAGTGCGACAGGGCTGTGGGGAGTGCAACAGGGCAGTGGAGAGTTTGACAGGGCCGTGGGGAGTATGACAGGGCCGTGGGGAGTTTGACAGGGCCGTGGGGAGTATGACAGGGCCGTGGGGAGTGGGACAGGGCCGTGGAGAGTGGGACAGGGCCATGGGGAGTATGTTTATTGGTACCCATGAGACAGTCATAGACTGACATTCAGCTTCTAAGCAGGGTAGGGTCTCCAGCCTGACACACGTCTTCGTGGTCACCCAAGCCCCCGAAGGCAGTGTTCTGTGCTCATCATCCCTCTGCGCCTGTGGTGACCCGCACAGCTCACCCCGTCCAGCTTAACGCCCTCTCTCCTCTCACCTGCTGCCCCTACCCTCCCGGCTGTCCCCTGTGTAGGCTTCGCAGCTTCTCCGCGTCCATCAGCTCTGAGGCTCCTGGAGGCCTTCTCTCTTCTCCTTCTCCCCCTCCTCCTCTCCTTCCCCTCTCCCAATCTCCCGCTCTCCCAGTCTCTTTACACAACATCTGTGCACCAGAAATTTTAAATATGATCCTGCAGTCCCTAACTGTGCCCAAGGGGCAGTCTCATCATGGGCTGTGTTCTGCACACCTCCTGGCCGTGTCACAGGCGTCTGATCTCGGCATACGTATGATGCACCTTCTGATTCGACCCACAGCCTTTACCCTTCTGATTGCTGGTGCCACGCCCCATTGTGAGAAGTCAGGAGTCACATCAGAAACTTGCTTTTCCTCAGCGGCACCTCCTGCTCGTGACGGGCCCTGTTCCTTTCCCCTCAGAGACGTACCTGGGATCCATCCTGGCCTCTCAGTCAGGGCCGACTTCCCCACCCCAGTGTTTGCTACCATGATTGTGACCTGTTCTAAGCTGAGTTTCTGCAGCTTTGCCGGTCACATGCATTCTTTCCTCCCCAAGACAACCCCTCATCACACAGCAGAGACAGTGGTCACTGAGAACATGGTCTGCCTCCCATCTCTCCCCTTTGTGGGCACCTCAGTGGCCTCCTGCTGCGCTCCGAACAAAAGCAAGAGACCCTGCTGAACCTGGGATGGGTTGGTAGAAGATGGGCTCCCCACGGGACCCGGGCGGGGGACAGCCCCCTCAGCCTCACGGCTTCCCAGACAGAGCGAAGGTGTCCTTCCAGTCTCTCCACATGTCATCTTAAATAAAGTTAGTTAATTCCATGCCTGTGGTTCTGAACCTCCTTTGTCTAATTGCTTCTGGTAATTCCATCCTCCAGCCGCCGCGGCAGGGGAACATTAAGTGGGGCTACCAGGTTTTGTGGGTGTTGTTTTTGTCCTGGGTGCCAGTCCGCGCATGAACAATGTCCTTATCTGATGGGAAGGGGCTGCTGCAGCCACAAGCACAGGCCCCCGCCCCGCAGACAACGCGGCTTCCTTTTCCTGACTACACTCGACCGGAACACACCAAACACCAGACACCTGCTCTCCGTTTGTGAAATGCTCAGCTCTTCTTTTCTATTTCTTTAATTTATGTTTTTTGGGTTTTTGTGGTTGTTGTTGTTTTTGAGACGGAGTCTCGCTCTGTCGCCCAGGCTGGAGTGCAGTGGCGCGATCTCGGCTCACTGCAAGCTCCACCTCCCGGGTTCACACCATCCTCCTGCTTCAGCCTCCTGAGTTGCTGGGAATACAGGCGCCCGCCACCACGCCCGGCTAATTTTTTGTATTTTTAGTAGAGACAGCGTTTCACTGTGTTCTCCAGGATGGTCTCAATCTCCCAACCTTGTGATCCACACACCTCGGCCTCCCAAAGTGCTGGGATTACAGGTGTGAGCCACCGAGTCTGGCCTAATTTATGTTTTTATCTTTACCAACTTCTTTCTTTAAAAAAAGTATGGTTAGAAATTTTGGTTTTCATTTTTCTAGACATTATTTTTACCTAAAAGAAAGGCCCACAATAGGCATGCATCTTTTTCAACTTTATTTATTTTATTTTCTTCAATGGATTACTTCCTTTAATTATAAAAGGAATACCCGACCATTCTTACTGGGTAAACAATAGGGGGTACAAAAATTAAAAGCGAAAAACTTCCCCCAACCCCTTCTCGTCCTGATCCTTCCGCTGTCAGTGTGAACACCTCTTAGTGTCTGTTTCACCCACTGTCTGTGCTCATGCTCATAAACCTGCAGATTTCTTTCTTATTTTTTTTTCTTTTTTTTTTGAGGCGGAGTCTTGCTCTGTCACCCAGGCTGGAGTGCAGTGGCACGATCTCAGCTCACTGCAACCTCCGCCTCCCGGGTTCACGCCATTCTCCTGCCTCAGCCTCCCGAGTAGCTGGGACTACAGGTGCCCGCCACCACACCTGGCTAATTTTTTGGATTTTTAGTAGAGACGGGGTTTCACCGTATTAGCCAGGATGGTCTCGATCTCCTGACCTCGTGATCCGCCCACCTCGGCCTCCCAAAGTGCTGGGATTACAGGCTTGAGCCACCGCGCCCAGCCTAACATGGGACGGTTGTAACATCAATATGTATATGCACCTCCTTTTTTCCATCAGCTTCCACGGTTACGTTGGATCGTCGTGAATTCGGCGGTCACCTGTTGATGGAGATCTCAGCATTTCACGTCGTGTGTTTGGCATCGTTTTGTTGTTTCTGTGACACTGAAGGCAGTGCCAGTGCCCTTGTTCATGCACCTTGTGGTGACAGGGCGCAATTCAGACTAAGGCCCAAAACAAGATGGAAGAGCCACAGGGTATTTACATTCTGAACTTAAAAGATGAAGACAAAATCTTTGTAGAAATATGGGCTGGGTGCCGTGACTGATGCCTGGAATCCCAGCACTTTGGGAGGCCGAGGTGGGTGGATCACGAGGTCGGGAGTTCGAGACCAGCCTGGCCAACATGATGAACTCTTGTCTCCACTAAAAATGCAAAAATTAGCCAGGCATGGTGGCGGGCGCCTGTAATCCCAGCTACTTCGGAGGCTGGGACAGGAGAATTGCTTGAACCCGGGAGGTGGAGGCTGCAGTGAGCCGAGATGGCACCACCGCACTCTAGCCTGGGCAACACAGTGAGACTCCGTCTCAAAAAAAAGAAAAGAAATATGGGCAAATAATACACACAGGAAACTTATATCTTACAGGAAACACTCATGGCCAATGTGCATGCAAGAAAGTTAGCAGCCATCACACAAATGCAAAGAAAAACAAAAATGAGGGGCAGTTTCTTCAGGGCTGGTGAGGGGCGGGGAAGGGCGCCACCAGTCACAGCCGCTAGGGCGACCCACTCACTCCCGGAGACTGCCTTTTTAAAATGATTCTTAGCATTGAAAGCCCTGCATCCCTGGAAATCTCTCATACTTGGGCAGACCGGGCCACTCAAGTGGCTGAGGAACATTCAAACCTTTCTGTTTTGTTTTGAGATGGAGTCTCGCTCTGTCGCCCAGGCTGGATTACAGTGGTGCAATCTCGGCTCACTGCAACCTCCATCTCCTGGGTTCAAGCGATTCTCCTGCCTCAGCCTCCCAAGAAGCTGGGAGTACAGGCATGAGCCATCACACCCGGCTAATTTTGTTTTTGTTTTTTTTTTGTTTTTTTTGGGGGGGGTCTTTAGTAGAAACGGAGTTTCACTATATTGGCCAGGCTGGTCTTGAACTCCTGATCTCAAGTGATTTGCCTGCCTCAGCCTCTCAAGCGCTGGGATTACAGGTGTGAGCCACTGTTCCCGGCCCTATTCAAACCTTTCTCAAGGCATATGTCAGCAACAAGCCCAGACCCCAGCAGCACTCACCTCACCAGCAGGACACCCCACTCAGGCAGGCTGCAATTTTCTTCCTTTCTTTCCTTTCTTTTTTCTTTCTTTCTTTCTTTCCTTCTTTTCTTTTTTTTTTTTTTTTTGAGATGGAGTCTCGCTCTGTCACCCAGGCTGGAGTGCAGTGGCACCATCTCGGCTCACTGCAACCTCCTCCTCCCGGGTTCAAGTGATTCTCCTGCCTCAGCCTCCCAAGCAGTTGGGACTACAGACAATTGCCACCATGGCCAGATAATTTTGTGTTTCTGATAGAGATGGGGTTTCACCATGTTGGCCAGGCTGGTCTCTAACTCCTGACTTCAGGTGATCTGCCCACCTCAACCTCCCAAAGTGCTGGGATTCCATATGTGAGCCACCATGCCCGGCCAGGCTGCAATTTCCCTACATGGCCTGTGTTATTCTGTGATCCTCCTGCGGTGGCTAGAACCAAAATAAATGATGGGGGTGACGGGGACCACGTTAGTTCTCATTCGAATGACAGTGGTTTGCATTTCATATGTTAAGGTCGTGTTCACCACTGGCTCCTGAGAAGCACGATTCCTCATGTTTGAGCAGTTTCCTCCCATCTCTCTTTGGCTTTGGGTTTTGCCATGAGTGGCTTTGGAGTTTTGTCAAGGGCATCTTGGGCACCTATAGAGAAGGTTTGCTATTTTATTTGGTTTTCTGGCAGCTGATCATCTTTCCGGCTAGCACCCTTGTTTCTTTGGGGGAAAACACTTCATGTGTATAGTTTTTGTTACATGAGTATTTTCCTTCCACCACTAAAGGCGAAGAAGCACAGTCCCCCGGCCCCCAGCAGCAGAAGGCAGGTGAGCACGGCAGCCAGCCCCACTTGACAGCCAGCCCTGCTCAGCGTCCCGGATGTGCAGGAGACTGGGACCCTGAACAAGGCTGCTGCCAGGGCAGCATCTGAGTGGGTGCCAGGCATGCTCCTGGCTTCCCCAGACAGCTGTGGTCTTTTACTGGTATAACTCTGCCTAAATCATCCAGGGCCTGTGGACGCTGACCCATGGGGTTGAAGGACACTGCGGCCCCCTCCCAGTCAGAGTGGAAGTGTGTGGAGAGCAGACGACTGCCTGGATTTCAATGCAAACCGCTCAGGGCAGAACTTGCATGGACTCTACAGCTGGCCTGCAGCTGTCCCCTCGGGCACTGGACAAAGTGTCTGCACGAATGTCCTCAGTGACCACAAACCTCTGTGTTGGCTGCATGGACCCACAGCTAGAAGCGGCGAGGTGGGTCCTGCAGCTGTCAGTCCATCCCCGACAGGCGCGTGAGAAATGGCACCTCTTCCAGACTCCCAGGAACCATTCTACACCAGGGACTGGGGGTCCAGAGGCTTCCGTCCCACCCATTGCAGCCCCCCAGGTCTAACAGCACAGATCGCCCACACCTGGGTATAGGAATGACAATAGTGGAGTTGGATCAGGACTCCAGCAGCTACCGCTCCGGGACAGTTGGCTTGCTGGAGCAAATCATTGCGGTGTCTGGTGTCTGCCGGGGGGCTGAGATCTGGGCTGTGTTTGTCCCTATCCAAACAGACAGAACATTAGAATGAGGTTGTCTTTACTGCGTATCCCTGATGTTCGGGAGCCTGTGTGGGCGAGCCGTCACCTCCTGGCACTGCCTCAAGGCGGCACCACCTTGCAGGGTGCCCTGCTGGTCCAGCATGCGGGAGCCCTGGCACCCATCAACCCCAGAATGAGGCACAGCGGGCAGCTGGGGATAGAGCCCGTGGCATCCCAGAGGGTGCTGCCCAGGCATGTCCTGGCACTCTTCTACCTGGATGCCCATGCCACTCAGAGAGGGGCACCATGACTGGCTGTCCTGCTCGAGGAAGGAGGTACCCCAGCAGCACCTCATTCTGTGGTTGGGACGCATTTCCCTGGGATCCAAGGGGCTGTCAGCCCTGGGGGAGGCCCAGGTGAAGGAGCCCACTCGTGGGCCCGGCCCGCAGTGCCCCCACTGTCCCTGGAGGCCCCCTGTGCTCCAGGTGGCCCGGCAGGCTCACGCTCCACAGGGAGCTTCAGGAAGCCCCAGGAGATGAGTATGCAGGGCCCAGGGCCTTGGAGCACAGCCAGGCCTTCTCCATCCACTGAGGAACACTTCTTCCTTTGACTACAAACAATCCCTACTTTCTCCTAAATTTCTGTGGGAAAATAAACTCTTGAGTACGTGACACCAAGTGGCATGAGGCCCCACAGGGTGCACCAGACCCGAAGCCGCGGGTTCCAGGGGGCTCCTGATGCAGGAGGAATGTGACAGTGGAGAAGGCGTGTGCTCCTCAAGGAAGAAGGGGACGGGAATGGGAACAGAGGCACACGCAGGCCACAGCCCCCTACCCCCTGCCCAGCCTCAGGCCTGTCTGTGGACAGCTGCATCCGCCCGGATAACCCAGGCCCTGCTGCGGTCACAGGGAGCCCTGAAATCACAAGGCTGTTATCTTAGTTTATGTTTCCTCAAAAACAGACACTGAGCCAAAGGCTGGAGGGCAAAGCTCACGGGTTGGGGGCGGATTCGGGGAAGCGCAGGGAAGAGGGAGGAGGAGGCCAAGGAGGCCTCAGTGCAGGAACAGCTGCTGGGGACCCTCTGCAAGGCTGCAGGGGACGCCATGGTGTCCTCTGAGTTATTTCTCTTTCATTAGTACAGATTGCCCCTAGAAGGGCATTAGCCTCCCTGACTCCAGCCTTCCCCACAGGCTGGACTCCATGCTGGTGTCCACAGGTGACCTCGAGGTGGGCGAAGATGTGCACACAGGGCCCAGCTGTGTCTGCTGCAGTCGGCTTGTGCGTATCACAAGCTGACGCGACATGAAGCCCTTCAGAGTCCCCTCAAGTAAAGGCTTGGGGAAGTGAGCTCCCACCGACACATGGGCGGCCATTGCTGCATCCTTCATTCCCCATCATACAGATAAGAGAGACAGGGTGGTAGGGGTGGGGGAGAGAAAGGGGAGAGAAAGGGAGAGAGCGGGGGAAAGAAGGAAGAGAGAGAGCAAGAGACAGAGAAAGACGGAGAGAGAAGGGAGAGAGAGCAAGAGAGAGGGGGAAGAGAAGCAGAGACAGAGATGGAGACAGAGACGGAAACAGAGGCAGAGACAGAGATGGAGATGGAGACAGAGACAGAGATGGACTCAGAGAGATAGACAGAGAGTGAGGATGATGAATAGCGAACAGCTGCCAGGTGAGGTTTTGCAGAATACATGCAACAGGCAGGCTCTAAATGGCTGAAAGTCTGCTTGTTTGGGGCTATTTTTAAAACAATTGAATGTATAAAAATCTGAGTTTGGTGCCAGTGGGCTCTTGAACTAATGAGCTCAGCCTGCAGGGAAGAAATAAGTGACCCAAGGGCCAGTCCCCAGAGGCCATCTCTGGCTCGTTTAGGTAACGACCACTCGTCCTTGCCCTCAGCATTCAGGTGGGCCTGGCCCACACTGGGTGAGAAGCAGGGGCCACCGGAAGAGATGGGCGGCCTCCTTGGAGGCTGAAATCATCCCCAGGCCCATCTGGGCTCCGTGGGCCTCTGGACACACAGGCACACATGGGTGCTACAGCCAGGGACAGTGGTATGGACAGCAAGTCTGCGCCCCGGTGGTGGCAGAAAATCATTTCCTTTATTTGATTCTCATTCACTGACTTCTTTTCTTTGGTCATGGGAAAGCCCAAAGCCCTGAGTTGACTGGATTCTCTGAGCAGAAGTGGACGCCGGCATCCAAGCTGGGTGTTGTCTGGAGTCCCCCGTTTCCCCAACTCAGGCTCCCAGGCCTCAGGGTTAACACAAAGCAAGGAGCCCAGCAGGGAAGGGCTGTCCCAGGCCACGAGGGTACCCAGTGCATGTTCGGATGCTTCCACTACGCCCTTCAGGGGCAGGCGGGAGCACACGGGCCCAGAGAATCCTCATAAGACTGTTCAGACCAGGCCAGGCTCGCCTGCCTCTGCACCCAGGGCGTGCAGGCTGGCAGCCAGGAGGCCCAGGTCAGGCGGTGGCCACCCGCCCGGGTCGCCCAGCATTGGAGGGAAGGGACAGCCACGGTGCACCCCGACCCGCGGTCTGCCTGTGTGCTTCAGGGGACAAGGAGGCCTTGGAGGGCCGTTTCCGAGACCAGGCTGCAGGTCCTTCACCCTGAATGCCAGGGATGAGCTCACAGGAAGAGAGCTGGGTCTTCCCTGGGCTCCCTGCTTTAAAGGGCACCCCCAGGCACCTGCCAAAGGAGAGCTTTATCCCTCCAGGGAAAACCAAGTTGCACCCCCGGAAAGCACGCCGCCCCCTCCTGCAGCTCCCTCCACCCGGCTGGCCCTCCAGGGCTTCCGCGCAGCCCGGCCCGGTTCTCCAGCGCGGAGCCGCGTTCCTTTTGCTATGCAACAGTGCCACCTGGTGGCCAGCCCGCGCAACAGCCTCCTGGAAAGGGAGCTCTGGAACCAAGGCCCCTGCGTGGAATTTTGATTTTTTTTAAAAAAATGACTGAGCCATTAAAGGTGCCCACGTTGAATTCAACAGTGAAGAGTGACGTTCCTGACGCCGCGCTTTGGAAAGCAGCTCAGGGGCGCTGATGCCGGCAGAAACGTGGCCAGCGCGGTTCCTGAGTGGGAAAGGCTAACCCCACTGCCAGGCCCACGGCTTTGCCAAGCGACACGTGGCGGTTTATGCAGAAGGAAGGTTCATGGAATATGAGCGGTTTGTCTCTGGTTTTTCCTTTAGAGTCTGTGCGCATATAATTTTTTAAACAGCCCACAGAGTGCACGCTTTGGGCGGTGATTGTCCAAGATTCGGTTAAAGTGACAAAAACGACAAAGTCCTTCCTCATCTCAAGGTCCAGACGGGGGCAGGCGGGGGATCCTGAATGTTCCCTGTCACTTCTCGCTAGGCGTCGGTTCTTTCTCGATGGCCAACGTGGGTCTCTGCTGCCAGGGTGAGGAGGAGGGTCACTCCAGCCTGGGCATCCGTTAGTTGGTGCCTGGCGGGGTTTCCGTCTCGATCTCATGTAGTTCAGGCCTGCGACTCCACGCACACCTTTCAAAGGCAGCAGAGACAAGCAGCGTCTGATGCCTCCGGGGGCATGCGGTGGCAAAGCCAGTGAGCCTGCATTCATCAGGGTCGGCTCCAGTGGACGGGGTGTGCTGTCCCATGCCTGGGGGAGCCCAGGCTCCAAGGTGGCTTCAGAGAGGTACTCAGGAGGGTGACGCTTTGGTGTGAATGCATCCCATCCGAAATTCCTGCAATGAAATGTAACAGGCCGGGCCTTTGGGAGGGGAGTAGGCGGTGAGGAAGGCCTCCTCTCATGCGAATGGGATTAAGACTCCTCTGAAAAAGGCTCCATGCAGCATTAGCAATGTCCCAGCTTCTGGCTCCTAAACTTCTCCTTACACAGAGCACTTGAACATGGACATAATTCAGCCAAGATCTTTGCCATTTTGCAACAAGGTCGGTCTTTCCTCTAGCGTCCAGTAAGATATTCCTCACTTCTGGCTGGGTGGGGTGGCTCACGCCTGTAATCCCAGGACTTTGGGAGGCTGAGGTGGGAGGATCACTTGAGCCCAGGATTTCAGACCAGTGTGGGCAACATGACGAAACCCCAAAAGACAGAGAGAGAAGAGAAAGGGAGAAGAGAAGCAGAGACAGACAGTGGGGATTATGAATAAAGAACAGCTGCCATGTGAGGTGGCAGGGCGGGGTAGGGCAGCCTGCAGTCCCAGCTATTTAGGAGGCTGAGGTGAAAGAATCATTTGAGCCCAGGAGGCTGAGGCTGCAGTGAGCTGAGATCTCGCCACTGCACTCCAGCCTGGGTGACAGAGCCAGACCCTGTCTCAAAGAAAAAAAAATCCTCACTTCTAAGACCCCATCAGAATAGTCTTCACTCTCCATATTTCTACTAACTTTCTGTTCACAACCATTTAAGTGTGAGGAGAACTGGGCTTTTCCGCAGCACCCTCTTCCGAGGACCTGCCAGAATCACCCTTAGTGGTGATTCTCTGTGGTCATGAGAATCTAGGCTGCTTCTAGCATGCACCTTCCAAATCCTCCAGCCTCTACATTACCCAGTTCCAAAGCTGCTTCCACAGTTGTAGGTATTTGTTATAGCAACAGCCTCACTGCTGGATGTGCCCTTCTGCTGCCTCCCACTTGAGGACACAGCGTTCACCTCCTCTGAAGGTCACAGCCAAGGGCACCAGCTATGAAGCAGACTGGGGCCCTCACCAGACACGAACCTACCAGTGCCTCGATCTTGGACTTCCCAGCCTCCACGACTATGAGAAATCAGTGTTGTCCTGTATACATCCCCCAGTCTCAGGGATTGCATTACAGCAGCGCAAACAGCCAGCAACAATGACATAGGTGCCCTTCTCAGCCAGTATGCAGGAGAGCTGGAGAAAAGCCAGCTGTGGACCTGCAGCTAAAGGAGCCAGAAAAAACGGCAAAGGGAAGAAAGAGGAGGAATCCGGGGCAGGCAGGAGACGCCACGGGTGATGCAGGCCCCAGGCAGGAACCTCTGGGTGTGGAGGTTCTAATCCTGGCACCCTCGGGCCCCGAGCACCCCAGGGTCCTGGTCCAGCACATCCACCGTGGGGGTGAGCTTGAGTGTGGGACTCCTTTCAGGAAGCACAAGGGACACCGCAGAAATCTGCTCTTTACGCTCCAACCTTCTCTCATGCTGGAGACAGCAAGGCCATTTATGGAGAGATTCGCAAACCAGTCCTAGCATGCCCCCATCCCTTCAGGACAGGACGTCCCCATGTGTCAGAGTTGCTGGAGCAGTTCAGACAGCTCTTTGACACAGAAGAGGGATGGAGTGCCACAGCGCCCTGCAGGCACAGGGAGGTCATGAGCTTCACGTCACCTAGGTTGGGCCACAGTGCCAGGCTGTTTGGCCAAACGCCAGTCTGAATGTTGCTGTGAAGGTCATTTAATCAAAGTCATTTTAGATCAGTAGGCTTTGAGTGAAACAGATGTCCCTCTGACAATGTGGGTGGGCCTCATCCAGTCAGAGGAAGGCAGGTGGGCCTCACCCAATCAGGTGAAGGTCTTAAAAGGAAAAGACTGAGTTCCCACAAGAAGGAAGGAATTCTCCCTTCAGGCTGTAGACTGCAACAGCAGTTCCTGTGGGAATGACCAGCCTCCTGCCTGCCCTGTGAGTTTTGGAGTTGCCAACCTCTACAATAGCACGGGATAATCCTTTGAAATAAATCTCTCTATGTCTCTGCTCTCTCTCTCTTTTTACATATACATGCATGTGGATATAGATGAGTGTGTACAGAGATAGAAATATCTAGCTATAGAGATAGATATCTGTCTGTGTCTATATAGGTACATACAGATAGATAGATATAATAAATATTTATATTCATATTAATATTATTTAATATTTAATGCATAATTCATAATCTTTTTATTTATATTATTCATATTTCCTATACTTAGCATATATTATTATATACTATATGTATTATTTTGTATATTTTTATTAATGTATGTGTATATGTTACTCATATTAATTTATATATTAATTTTTTTTTGAGATGGAGTCTCGCTCTGTCACTCAGGCTAGAGTGCAGTGGTGCAATCTTGGCTCACTGCAACCTCCACTCCCAGGTTCAAGCGATTCTCCTGCCTCAGCCTCCTGAGAAGCTGGGATTACAGGCATGTGCCAGTGCACCCGGCTAATTTTTGTGTTTTTAGTACAGACAGGGTTTCACCATGTTGGCCAGGCTGGTCTTGAACTCCTGACCTCAAGTGATCCACCAGCCTTGGCCTCCCAGACTGCTGGGATTACAGACTTGAGCCACTGCCTCCGACCTTCAATTTATATATTAATATTAACAAGATCTTAAAGATGATTCTGTGGGTGTACATAACATGGTAAATACAGGTGTGTGCTTGTGAGTGAGAGCACGCAAGACGTGCCCTCGGCCTGGTCTTCCCTCCAGCAGCCTTGGCTGTGGCTGGAAGGAGCCACTCCAGGATCCAGGGAAGCCCTTGTTTGGCCACTGCCTGCACCCCTCACCATATGCACCTTTTACTGAGTGCCGTGGAGCACCTGCCACCTGGAGCCACACAGACAAATCAGGAGCCGGCGCTGGCTCGGTGATCTGTGATTAGCTTTGTGGCTCAGATGCTCTTCCTGAACGATGGGCTCTCTGCTCACAAAATGAGAAAGACGTCTTTCTCGTGGCGCCATTCCTCCCGATTCCGTGTCACCTCGGAGGCCCTAAATCATCCCTGCTTCCTTTGCTCTTCGAATGAGCAGACAGCAGGACGCACACGCATCCCTGAACCTGGGCGCTTTATGCTGAGAGCGCCACACAGGTTATTTTTCCTCTTTATGTCATCTCCTACGGTCCTGCTGATAATTTAAAATTTAAAATTGTACTTATCAATAATAAGATATATCCCTGTCCCAGGCCCTCCCCTGCCTCTCTGGATGGATAATTCTTCAGTTACCACGGGAACCCTGAACGTGGAAGAAGACCTTGGACCCAGATCCTGCTCCACACCATCACTCACCCCGCGGTGAGCAGCAGAAGGGCCTTTGAGAGGGTCGCCTCTTCTGTCGCTGTTCCGGTGGGGGAGGGGCGCAGACCCCTTTCCTGGGGACAGGAGGCCGTGGGCATCAGCAGCAGGCAGGAGGGACCACCTCTTTCTCCCCGCCATGCAAACAGCCACACTCGCCACTGCCCAGGTCCTCCTCCGGCTGCCACTGTAAACTGAGGCAGCTGCTGCTTCCCCCCAAACTGTCCCCCAGCCAGGGCTCGGCCCGCAGTGGGACCCTGCGGGCCATCTGACCGCGCTCAGCTTCTCATCCGCCCGAGATGCCAGGCTCCGGAGGCACCATCCCTCACGGGGACTCCGCGGTCTTGGAAAGGCCGCTGTCCTGCTTCGGGAAGGCCGGGTGGCTGCGCCCTCTGGCCGGTGAGAAGCTCAGTGCGGGCCGGGCCGCCTCCCCGCCTTCAGGAGCATTTGCCATTCCTGCATTACCTAGGACTGCAAAGGTCAAACTATGTCTGTTTGAAAGGTAGCCAAAATCTCAAGCTAAAAGATGATCATTCAGGATGCTTTTACATTCAAACATCTTAAGTGACGCTCTAGTCTCCCACTGAAATCCGTCCAGGTCTGCGGAGAGGCCCTGCAGACAGCCTAGAGCAGTGACACCCTCCAGGCCGCGTCTCCATGCGGGAGTCCGTAGCCACCTTTACCAAACACGGAAGACCTCCAGCGGCTGCTGCTGCTTTGTGTGTGTGCAACACCGGGACCCTTTGCTATTTTCCTTCGTGCTTTCCTTTCTTTTCTTTTCTTTTCTTTTCTTTTCTTTTCTTTTCTTTCTTTTCTTTTCTTTTCTTTTTTTTTTTTTTTTTTTTTTTTTTTTTGAGACGGAGTCTTGCTCTGTCGCCCAGGCTGGTGTGCAGTGGGGCCATCTCGGCTCACTGCAAGCTCCGCCTCCTGGGTTCACGCGATTCTCCTGCCTCAGCCTCCAGAGTAGCTGGGATTGCAGGCGCCCGCCACCACGCCCACCTAATTTTTTTGTATTTTTAGTAGAGACGGGGTTTCGCCGTGGTCTCAATCTCCTGACCTCGTGATCCGCCCGCCTCGGCCTCCCAAAGTGCTGGGATGACAGGCGTGAGCCACCGCGCCCGGCCGTGCCTTCCTTTCTTGTTTAGCCACTAACATGTATTACTTTCATAATTCAAAAAATTGTAAGTGCAAGAATTCCAAGTTACTGTGTGTCCAAGGCATGAAGCAAACCCAAAAGCTGCAACCTCTTTCCCTGCCGCAAAACCTCATTGCTGTAGTCCCCCTGAATAAAGTCTGTCTCACTGCCTAAAAAGAAAGAAAGAAAGAAAGAAAAACAAGATGGGGCAAAGTACAGAATCTGTGTTATTTCCATTTACAAAGCATCATTGTCCCAAGAGAAAACATTATTAAACTAGACTATTTTCACCATAGAGGCAGTAAAACTTGCTTTTAGGTATGAGAAATAGTTCTCATTAGGAGTGAGAGTTGGTAAAAGATAATCAGAAATGGCTCTATGTTACGCCCTCCTGGCAAGAAACAGCACCTTCTACCACAGCTGTCAATCTTCTTGTGCCAAGAGGGCTCCCATCCGTGCCAGGTCTCAGCACACAGGTCTGCTCTGCGTCCTAGAAAATGCAAAGAACCGGCTGGGTGCAGTGGGTCACACCTGTAATCCCAGCACTTTGGGAGGCCGAGGCAGGCGGATCATGAGGTCAGGAGACTGAGACCATCCTGGCCAACATGGTGAAACCCTGTCTCTACTAAAAATACAAAAATTATTCACGTGTGGTGGCGCTCGCCTGTAATCCCAGCTACTCAGGAGGCTGAGGCAGGAGAATCGCTTGAACCCGGGAGGCGGAGGTTGCAGTGAGCCGAGATCACACCGCTGCACTCCAGCCTGGGCCACAGAGCGAGACTCCGTCTCAAAAAAAAAAGAAAAGAAAAGAAAAAAGAAAATGCAAAGAACTTTCCACAACCCACAGGTGGGCCCCTCTCTGGAAAGGTGGTCGCATTGGAAAGCGGTGCTGTGGAGAGGCTGGTTCTCAGGATGAGCTAGATTGTAAATATTTCTGCTTAAAACAAATACCTCTAAGATACAAAGTTTAAATATAATGTCATCTAAAGTTCCAAAAGTCACTTTAGTGAAAAGTGTTTTGGTCTTTACATCTTAGTGCAAACGGTGCTGAAATGCATCCTCTGGTGACATCTCTCAGCCTCCTTCCGCAGCCAGGCAGCTCAGAGGCCAAGGTGGGCTGACTGAAGGATTTCCAGAAGGAGAAGGAGTGTTGAGAACAGCTCATCTTGAAATCCATCGCCCACCTTTTAGAAAGTGATAAGAAATTAGGATCTTTCTTTTTTTTTTTTTTTTTTGAGACCAAGTCTCACTCTTGTCTCCCAGCCTGGAGTGCAGTGGTGTGATCTTGGCTCACTGCAACCTCCACCTTCCAGGTTCAAGGGATTCTCCTGCCTCAGCCTCCCGAGTAGCTGGGATTACGGGTGCCTGCCACCATGCCCAGCTAATTTTTGTATTTTTATTAGAGATGGGGTTTCACCATGTTGGTGCTGGTCTGAAACTCCTGACCTCAGGTGATCTGCCTGCCTCGGCCTCCCAAAGTGCTGGGATTACAGGCGTGAGCCACCTCACCTGAGAAACTATGATCTTTTGTAGGGAGGAGATGTTACCATTGACACACTCACCGAATGTTCATTATACTCACAGGCGCACACAGTATTTCAGGCTGCTATCATTTGTCAATCCTGAAGTATTGCTTCAAAATCAATGAACAATCTTGGTGATGACGGGCAAGCATCTACTGTCCAACTCTATGGCTTGACTAACTGACCACTTTCCTCAATATCAAGGGACTCAGGTTTCGATATTTTAATACAAGCTGTAAGAGTTTAGAAAATGTCATTAGACCCCAGCATCAATAATGGGTCCAGGAAACACAGCTCACCAGTGAAAAGCAGGCCAGTGGCCCCTGTTCTCTTGTCAAATTTAGAATAACGGGTTTGGACCAGGTGCCCGCACTGACGATGCAGACCTCGGCTGGTTATGGAAGCCCACGGTCAGGGGAGCTCTTTCCAGAGGAGTCAGCAGTGCTGAACTGCCTGAGACAGGAACCGCAGGCCCTTGGCACCCTCAGACACTGGGGACTGAGAGGGGCTCAGAGGGTGATGCCCTGGGCGACTGGCGGGTGGGGACTGCCCCTCCTGAAGGGACCAAGGTTCCACATGTTCCCCCTAAAAGAGGAAGTCCCAGGAGCACAGGTGTTGAGGCTCCTGTGGATTAAAAGCCCCACCGTGTTACACGGGCAGGTGGCTCCTGTTTTCTGGACGGCTGGGCACAGTGGACTTGACCACCGGAAACCCCCAGGCAGGAGGAAGCCCAGCAGTCCTCAGGCCCTAGGCCAGGGTGGGTGGTGGAGGTAACAGAGAGCCCGGGGACTGCTCCGTGGGCGTTCCTGCCTGCAGCCTTCCCTACTGGCCCACCACCCCCTGTCCTGCTGTGTCACTCAGGAAAGGGGTGAGCGACGGGCCAAGGGGAGGAAGCCTCCAGCAGAAGCCGGAGGTGTTGGTGGAGCCCACTCTGCATGGCCGTGCCCAGAGACCCCAGCCCCTCTGCTGCTCTGCAGAAGCGCTGGCCAGAGAGATGGAGCAGGGAGGGGTATCATTTTCTCTACACCACAGCCTCCTAGTGGATTCCCCGTGGCAGCCAGGGGTGTCCCCTCCCAGGCACTGAAGCTGGCGCATGTGGGGAGACACAGGTGTCCAGGTGTCCTATGGGGGTCCCTGGAGCACCTGCCTCATTCCGCCCGGGTCCACCCCACACTCTGCTATCCCTGAGGGTCACTCACATCATGGTGAATGGGTCCCAGAGCCTCGGTTTCAGGGTGGGTGCCTTAAAACCTTGGCACCCTGGACCTCACCACCCTGTCGCCGAGCTGGGCCGGGCTCCGTCATGTCTCACTCCTACCCCCACACCCCTCTGGACAATGCTCATGCAACAAAGCAGCGCCCCGGGGTTCCCTGTGACTCTGGGGAAGGGGAGAGTCCTACACCTTTTGCACCTGTAGGGACCAGCCCTAGAGGGTCTGTGGGTTTTTCTCCCCATGTGTGGAGACGAGAGATCATAGAAATAAAGACACAAGACAAAGAGATAAAAGAAAAGACAGCTGAGCCCGGGGGACCACTACCACCAAGACGCAGGGACAGGTAGTGGCCCCAAATGCCAGGCTGTGCTGTTATTTATTGGATACAAGACAAGCGGGCAGGGTAAGGAGTGTGAGCCGTCTGCAATGATAGGTAAGGTCACGTGGGTCACGCATCCGCTGGACAGGCGGCCCTTCCCTGCCTGGCAGCCGAGGCGGAGAGAGAGGAGACAGCTTACGCCATTATTTCTGCATATCAGAGACTTTTAGTACTTTCACTGATTTGCTACTGCTATCTAGAAGGCAGAGCCAGGTGTACAGGATGGAACCTGAAGGAGGACTAGGAGCGTGACCGCTGAAGCACAGCATCACAGGGAGACGGTTAGGCCTCCGGATAACTGCGGGCGAGCCTGACTCATGTCAGGCCCTCCACAAGAGGTGGAGGAGCAGAGTCTTCTCCAAACTCCCCCGGGGCAAGGGAGACTCCCTTTCCCGGTCTGCTAAGTAACGGGTGCCTTTTCTAGGCACTGAAGTTACCGCCAGACCACAGTCCGCTAGGTAACAGGCGTCTTCCCAGGCGCTGGCGTTACCTCTAGACCAAAGAGCCCTCGGGTGGCCCTGTCTGGGCATAACAGAAGGCTCGCACTCTTGTCTTCTGGTCACCCCTCACTATGTCCCCTCAGCTCCTATCTCTGTATGGCCTGGTTTTTCCTAGGTTATGATTATACAGTGAGGATTATTATAATATTGGAATAAAGAGTAATTGCTACAAACTAATGATTAATAATGTTCGTATATAATCATATCTATGATCTATATCTAGTATAACTATTCTTATTGTATATATTTTCTTCATTACACTGGAAGAGCTCGTGCCCTCGGTCTCTTGCCTCGGCACCTGGGCGGCTTGCCGCCCACATGCACCCCACCCCGTCTTGCCAGAGACTGCAGCCTCTGGGGTGAACCTCCCACCTGGGTATCAGGCCCCTGCTGGTGACAATGTGAAGGTGGTTGGGGGTGCCGGGAGACAGGAGCTGAATTGTGGGTGAGGATCCCCCCCAACTGGGAGAGCTCGCAGCCCTGGCAGTTCCCTGATCCTCAGGAGTCCCCTCTGCTTGTCGGGCATCTCGGGGGTTCTTTCTGCTGCTGTTTCCCCAACCTGGTGGTGGAAGGCCTGGCACAGCGGCTCCAGGTCACATGGGCAGGAAAACAGGACAGAGGAGCAGCCACCAGTGCAGCTGTGCCTGCGGCCGGACACACTGACCACCCCAATGTCCAGCGCTGGGGCGGGTCTCTCTGTGCTGTGGGTGGGAGCGTCGAAACGCGGAAGGGGCTCCTCTCCTGGGTGCCAGGTCGGGGCTGCCCCGCAGCGCCCGCCAGACCTCCCTCTCTGAACCTGTGGGCACTGGGGGTCCTCAGCCACTGAAGGGAGAGCCAGGAGTCCTGTCACTTCCCCCGTGCCCATCCCCAGCACTTTTGGAGGGACCTGGAGAAGGAGGGGAGGGGCCCGGCCACAGGGCAGTGGTGCAGCCCCTGGAGTCTCAGCGGTTGCCCTGCCTGCAGCAAGGGTGCTGGGGCTACTGGTGCCTCCCCAGCCTGTCCTGGACTCCGGTGATGTGCTGCCCCAGAAACACACGTGGAGGACCCCAGGAGGAGCCCCATCTTGCAGCCCATGGTAAATGGGGCAGATGGGGTCACGGCGCTGCCGACCCCCAGCTCGGGGGTCCAGGGTGCTGCCTCAGCTCCCCTGGGAGGGAGGGAAGGAGGGAACAGGTCCGTCCCGGCGGTCCCCACCCTCCTGAGAGCGAGTTGCTGCCGGTTCATGCCCAGGGTCAGGGTCGGGGTCAGGGTGGACGTGGGCACAGCCGCAGTGGCAGATTCTGCCTCTCTGAAACCTGGGCCCAGGGGTGCGAGACACCCCTCAACCCCCTACCCCCCACCGTGCCTCTGAGCTGCTGGATATGAGCCTATTGCTTCGTGTCGGGGAAGAAGCAGGAGAGAATTATCTGATCCATGAGGAACAACCAGGGAAGAGCCAGGACAGACCCCGGGCCTCCTGCCAGTGCCCTAAGGAAGACCCCTCCCCAGCTGCGGAGCGGAGGCCAGGTCCTCGGTCCCGGTGGGGAGCGAGAGGCAGCAGTGGGTAAACGCCAGTGGAGGGGGCGGGCCAGGGGGCCCAGGCTGGAGAGAACTTTGAAGGCAGCTTTCCAGAGCCCCAAAACCTCCATCAGGTAAGGGTGGTCTGGGGTGGAGGTGGTCTGGGGTGGAGGTGGTCTGGGGTGGGATGGGCTGGGGTGGAGGTGGTTTGGTTGGAGGTGGTCTGGGGTGGAGGTGGTTTGGGGTGGGGTGGTCTGGGGTGGAGTGGTCTTGGGTGGGATGGGCTGGGGTGGAGGTGGTTTGGTTGGAGGTGGTCTGGGGTGGGATGGTCTGAGGTTGGAGGTGGTCTGGTGTTGGAGATGGTATGGGGTGGGGTGGTCTCGGGTGGAGGTGGTTTGGGGTGGAGTGGTCTGGGGTGGGATGGGCTGGGGTGGAGGTGGTTTGGTTGGAGGTGGTCTGGTGTTGGAGATGGTATGGGGTGGAGGTGGTCTCGGGTGGAGGTGGTCTGGGGTGGAGATGGTCTGGGGTGGAGTGGTCTGGGGTGGAAGTGGTCTGGGGTGGGATGGTCTGAGGGTGGGGGTGGTCTGGGGATGGGTGATCTAGGGGTGGAGGACATCTGCGGTGGAGGTGGCCTGAGGTGGGGTGGTCTCGGGTGCAAGTGGTCTGGGGTGCGGTGGCCTGGGGGTGAGGTTGTCTGGGGTGAAGGTAGTCTGGGGTGGAGGTGGTCTGGGGTAGGGTGGTCTGGGGTGGAGGTGGTCTGGGGTGGAGGTGGTCTGGGGTGTGATGGTCTGAGGTTGGAGGTGGTCTCAAGTGGAGGTGGTCTGGTGTTGGAGGTGGTATGGGGTGGGGTGGTCTCGGGTGGAGGTGGTCTGGGAGTGGAGGTGGTCTGGGCTGGAAGTGGTTTGTTTGCCTGCATTCCAGCTGAAAACAAGTTCAGACAACTTCAAGGCTGGGATGAGATGAGACAGAACGAGGCCCTTTCATAATTTCATCTAAACACGGACAAATCAAGATCCCGGTGCCAGCCATGAAATGCCAAACCTCCCCTTCTCTCTGCTAACAGGAGCTGGGCCTTGCCTGGGGTCAGACTTTTGCCAGCTGGTCATGCGGGCTCCAGCTTTCTGACAGCCTCCAACCCGGGGTGACCCCCAACCACCCAGCCACAGCCCAGTCCTACAGAGGGTCTTCCTGACGCTCCTCCTGCGACCCCGCGGTGCCCGTGGTGTGTGTGGCCACGTGGTGAGTCGTAGCCCAACCTTTCAACCACAGGCAGCTCCTGGGGCTCTGGCTGGACAGAGACGCCAGGGTCAAGAGGCAGGTGAAGGCTGAGGGTGCTCGGGAGTGGCCAGGGACGGTTCTGAGCATGGCAGTTCTTCCCCACTTCCCCAGGTACCGGCAGGAGTTACTACAGCCACTTTCCACGTGTCTGGGACTCCCCCACGCGTGACCAACTCCCCAGGAAAATGAGATGGCTACAGGCCTCAATCAATCCATTAAAGAAAAGTTTCAGGAAATAGAAACATTATTAACCACAAGCAGAGGGCTGAGGAACTAAGAAATAGCTCTGGATAAGAAGACACGCAGGGCCCAAGCTGCAGGTCCAGCGAGAGGGACGACAGTGGGCGAAGTTCCGAGAAGCCCCTTCCCTGAGGCTCCCACTCCTGTGGGAAGATGGAAGTGGCCCGGGCCGGTGGGGGAGCCCGGCGGGATGCCAGGGCTGCACTGGGCACTGCAGGGGAGCTAGGGCCGGGGGGGGCTCCATGCGAGATGAAAGCTGCCCACCGCTGGCACAGGACTAAGGGCTGTGCACAGCACGGGAAGACCCTCCCTTTAAGAGTTTCTCCCGATGCCCTCTTCCCCCTGCAGCCCTCCTCTGCTCCCCGAGTTCCAAACACACCAGGACGGAGCCTGTTTGAGCCTGGAGCCCTCTGCATTGCTCTGCTGCAGGCTATAAAGCAAAATGCAAAACGCAACGTGCATCCCGTCCAGTTCACGTATTTCTACCATGTTTGGGTGTTTTTAAGGGTCCCGCTTCATTTTTATCCTAAAGCCAGTGGCAGCCACTCAATCTTTGGAGACTGGGGCTGTCGCCTGCATCCGCGGTTGGAGTTTGCCAGACACCTGGCGCCTTGGGCCACCTCTGGGCTCCAGAACCTGCAACCCTGGGCACACGGCTCTCCCGCCGTCTTGCCACAGTGCCCCCTGGCGGCCCTGCTGAGTCAAGCCGGCTTCCTGTCTTCCCAGACTGGGCTCTTCCCTGAAACCCGGGAGGGAAAGGTGAGACTTTCAGCCCCTCTGCCCAGAGCTGCTCAGGATGGCTTGGAGCCCTGCACGTATTTGGCAAATATTTACTGTGTGTGCACTATGTGCCTGGCACTGTCATTGAACCAGAGGGTAGAACAATGACCAAAACCAGGTACACCTGTTCTCAGGGCTCCAACCTTCTGGGGAGGGATGGACACAGCAAAGGGGTGTCTGTGAGGTGACACAGTGAAGGGGCGTCTGTGAGGTGACACGTCGAAGGAACGCAAGCAAGGAGACGGAAAGAGGGAGCTGCTAGTTTACACGGGCGCTGGCGAACATAAACGTTTGTGTTTAAGTACAAAGAAAATGGTTGCAGCTGTGCAGGCCTCGGGGGTTCACACTGGGACGATGACCACGGCTGCAGCCTGGTGCCCCCCAGCTTGGGGAAAAGAAGGAAATGAAGAGCAGGGTGCAAGCTCAGATCGAGACGGCCCAAACCCAAGAAGCCAAAAGTGTATTGGGGTGCAAGCTATGCTTTACGCTCTTATGCATTCTTCTTCCATTTGTAAAAAAGTTTGGACATGCAGAGAATCTGCGTTTGGTGCCTTTCAAATCGAGGGAATAAAAGGTCCCGCCTCCACGGGCTGGGAGAGCCTCACACACAACACACAAGGTGATGACTGATTTCTCCTTTTCTGCAAGGAATTTCCTCACTTTCTCTTCCCAGCTCAGGAATGAGCCTTAGGAAGAGGCAGAGGTCGAACCATTTGGTTCAAGCAAGGCCCGGGGTCCGAGAGGGAGGCCTAGCTGGAGGAGATTGGGCGTTGGGAGGGGTGGGGGAGACACCGCAGGTGACCGGAGCCCCCTCCTCAGCACAGCCCCTAGCTCAGGCCCCTGAAGCTCTCTGGGTGGAGGCTGCAATCGTTACTATAAAACCATTGTCTTAGAGAGCAGGCGCCTTCCGCCCCTGGCATGGTGCCGAATAGAGATGTGATTTCGCTTTAGATATGAACGTGCACATTTGCAGGAAAACCTAATTATGGGCGTGCCTGTGTTTATACTGTATGAAGGGCTTCTCCATCTGTCGCCGTTCTATTGTTACTGTATCAGGCATTGATGGTTTATTAATACCTTTTCCGCAACATGGAGAAAACAGATGATGTTTTCCCCCGTGTCTGTCATTACTACGGTGAGTGTTTTATTGTTGGTTTGGTTTTTTGTTGTTGTTTTTCTTGAGACGCCCAAGCTAGAGTGCTATGGCGTGATCTGGGCTCACTGCAACCTCTGCCTCCTGGGTTCAAGCAGTTCTCCTGCCTCAGCCTGCCGAATAGCTGGGATTACAAGCACCTGCCACCACGCCTGGCTAATTTTTGTATTTTTAGTAGAGACAGGGTTTTGCAATGTTGGCCAGGCTTGTCTTGAACTCTTGACTTCAGGTGATCCACCTGCCTCAGCCTCCCAAAGTGCTGGGATTACAAGCATGAGCCACCACATGCAGCCTCATTTATGTCTGGTATTATTTACAATATCAGGCACATTTGCTTTCTTGATGTCAACCCTTCGTTGCCACGATGCATCATTGTGCAAATCTGATGCTGGGTCTGATTTGCCAATCTCTTGTTTATTTGTCAGCAGCCTGTGGTGGAGCCCAGCCCAGGGTCGGGGGCGAGAGTGTGGCAGGGTCAGGTGAGGACCCGGGAGGGGTCCGAGGAGCTGGGCCCTGGAGAGGGAGAGAGATAGGCCAGACACAGAAATGGTGGGACTCCTGGTTCAAAAGGTAGCAAAAGGCTGGGTGTGGTGGCTCACACCTGTAACCCCAGCACTTTAGGAGGCTGAGGTGGGCAGATCACGAGGTCAGGAGTTCGAGACCAGCCTAGCCAAAATGGTGAAACCCTGTCTCTACCAAAAATACAAAAATTAATCAGGGGTGGTGGCGTGTGCCTGTAATCCCAGCTATTCCGGACACTGAGGCAGGAGAATTGCTTGAACCTAGGAGGTGGAAGTTGCCGTGAGCCAAGATTGTGCCAGTGCACTCCAGCCTGGGGGAAATAGCAAGACTCTGTCTTGGGACAAAAAAAAAGCAGCAAAAAACCACAGTGAAAGCTTTCCCCTTTAGGAATGATTTTATCACTTACACAATAAATAGGGGTGATAGTGGTGCCAAGTAACAACACCAATTTACAAACTACAAAACAATAATTTTTGGATTCAGAATTTTATATAATAAATAATATTTTATTAATAGGATGTTTATGATTTTTCCAATTTTTTCTGCAAATTCATTTATTAGATCATCAAAATGGATACTTCAGAAATTTCATTTTCGGTTTTGACATAACTGAAAGTTATTTCAGTCTTTTTTGGCAAATGCAAGATCTCAAATAATTTTTGATGACCTTTGAGAAGAATCTTTGTGCTGATACAGCTGTTATTGGAGCAGTAAAGGTATCTTACAGGCTGTGACAACATTAGGATTAGTTTCTGATAAATTGTTTTAAATGATAAATGTCAGCGCATGTAGACCTGGTGATTCTTGTGGAGAAATTTTTTTTAAAAAAATTAATTCTTCAAAGAAATCAGTTTCATGGGAGTCTAAATTATTTTTTAATAAGCTTTATTTTTGGAATTGTTTTAGATTTACAGAAAAATTGCAAAGCAAGTTTCCATACACCTTACACCCAGCTTCCCCCATTATTAGTATCTTACTTCAGTATGGTATGTTTCTTACAATTAGAGAACCAATATTGGGCCAGGCGTGGTAGCTCACACCTGTAATCCCAGCACTTTGGGAGCCTGAGGCGGAAGGATCACTTGAGGTCAGGAGTTGGAGACCAGCCTGGCCAACATGGTGAAACCCTGTCTCTACTAAAATACAAAAATTAGCTGGACGTCGTGGCTGGCGCCTGTAATCCCAGCTACTCAGGAGGCTAAGGCAGGAGAATCGCTTGAACCCAAGAGGTGGAGGTTGCAGTGAACTGAGATCATACCACTGCACTCCTGCCTGGGCCACAGAACAAGACTCTGTCTGAAGAAAAAACTAAACTAAACTAAACTAAAAACTAAATAATGACCAAGTACGGTGGCTCACGCCTGTTATCCCAGCACTTTGGGAGGCTGAAGCAGGCGGATCACTTGAGGTCAAGAGTTCGAGACCAGCCTGGCCAACATGGCAAAACCCCGTCTCTACTAAAAATACAAAAATTAGCCAGGCGTGGTGGTGGACCCCTGTAATCCCAACTATGCAGCAGGCTGAAGGAGGAGAACTGCTTGAACCTGAGAGACAGATGTTGCAGTGAGCCGAGATCACGCCACTGTACTCTAGCCTGGGTGACAGAGCGAGACTCCATCTCAAAAAAAAAATTAAAATAAAATAAAATAGAGAACCAATATTGATACATTATTATTAACTAAAGTCCACACTTTGTTCTTCTCTCATTAGCATTTACGTGCTGGTCCGTTTCTGTCCCAGGGCCCCACCCAGGGTCCCACGTGACATTCCCTTGTCCGTCTCCCTGGGCTCCTCTGGGCGGTGACCGTTTCCCAGGCTCTCCTTGTTGGTGGTGACCTGGAGGGTTCAGAGGACTGCTCAGGTGTTTGTAGGGTGTCCCTTATTAGGATCTGTCTGGTGTTTTCACGATTAGACGGGGCTGTGGATGTGGGAAGGAAGAGCACAGAGGGAGATGCCCTTCTCGTCACCCCATGCTGAGGGCCTGTCCTGTTGGCATGGCTCGTCGTGCCTCGCGGGCTATGCTGCCCCCGTCTCCTGGCTGTGTTTGTGTCTTTCAGGATTCCCCACGGAAAGATGCTCCTGAATTCCCCTGTCCCGTGCTGCATTCTCAGAAGGAGGTCCCAGTGCTGCCTGCACTTAAGGGGTGAGGGCTACACAGAATTAGTGGGAACTCTTCTGCATGGGGGACTTGCCTATCCACTCCCATTTATTTATTTACTTTTATTTATTTACTTCTTTTGGAGACGGAGTCTCGCTCTATTGCCCAGGCTAGAGTGCAGTGGTGCGATCTCGGCTCACTGTAACCTCTGCCTCCCGAGTTCAAGTGATCCTCCTTTATTTATTTACTAAATCACTTATTTCTATCAGTCATGTTCATGGATATCTATTTTACAGTTCGGGTTAGAGTCAATGCTACTCTCTCTATTTATTGTGTTGATCGAATTGTTCTATTTGTAACCCCCAGGAGCGCTTTCTTTTGGCTCACGTGTCCCTACAACGTGCTTCTGATACTTTCCATCACTGCATGTATCGGGGCTTTGCTTTGTTTTCTTTTAGATTTTTTTTTTCTGGAGCTACAAGATGCTCCAGACTCACCTTTATCTTTTTTGCCTCAGTCCTAGAAGTTGCCATGTCTCCAAGGGTCCCTGGTCCTTGGGTTGGAGCCTGGTATTCAACCTCCTGCTGCTGTGGGGTGCCATAGGTTTGGGGCCCTCTTGAGGCAGGAGAGGTTGTCAAGGAAGTGGCCATCTCCTCGCAGCAACCGTAGTGACCACTGGGCCAAGGCAACAAGCCTCCCCATTCATGTTGTCATTGAGCTCATTCGAACAAAGCTATCTCAGGAGGGAATTTCCCCCGTAGAGAGCATGCACATTTTGATTTTACCTGTCCTCACTCTGACCCTTTGCTCCTTATAATAGTATAAAGCACATCCCTGGGTGGAGATTTAAGATGCTAATGAGACATGAATGGTATGAACAAGCGTGTACAGCTACTGCACACATGCACCCAGAGGACCACCCAGAACATGCTTCCTAGCAACACCTCTTCCCAGCTCCTTAGGAATAATCATGGAAGAGTCCCATAAAGGGAGCCTCCCTCAGGCCGGTCTCTGCTTCTCATCCTTGTGAGCAGCCCGCCCTGCACCCTGTCTCGCCCAGGGCATCCTGTCTGTTCTGCACCTCACTTCCACAACATTCTTTCTCCTTTGCAATGAATTCCTCTGTGCTGCATCTCCTGTGTGTCTTGTTTAAATTATTTTAAACTAAGAAGACAAGAACCGAGGTCTCACAACAGCTGTCAACACTCTCCACTGACAGAGCAACAGGACATACGTGTGCATCCTAACCACGTCTGCACACATCTGCAGGTGTTTGTGTGTGACCATCTGTGTCTGTACGAAGCTGAGCGTGAGTTCCTAATGAGATCTCCACCTCTAATCCATCACCGTGGGCATCATTGCAACCTCACCCTCCCTGATTCAAGCAATTCTCCTGCCTCAGCCTCCTGAGTAGCTAGGACTACAGGCGTGCGCCACCACACTCAGCTAATTTTTGTATTTTTAGTAGAGATGGGGTTTCGCCATGTTAGCCAGGCTGGTCTCAAACTCCTGACCTCAGATGATCCGCTTGCCTTGGCCTCCCAAAGTGCTGGGATTACAGGCATGAGCCACTGTGCCTGCCCTGTCTTACCCTTTAATCATCAGTTCACCTGAAGCTTTATTTGAAAATAGTATTCTTTTCCATCAACTACAATGTTCTTTACTTTTTGGTTTTTGAGGCAGGGTCTTACTTGGTTGCCCAGGCTAGAGTGCAGGGGTACAATCATGGCTCACTGCAGCCTCAGCTTCCTGGGCTCAAGCAATCTTCCCTCCTCAGCCTCCCAAGTAGCTGGGACTACAGGTGCACACCACCGGGCCCGGCTAATTTATTTTTATTTTTCATGGAGACCAGGTCTCACTATGTTGCCCAGGCTGGTCTCCAACTCCTGGGCTCAAGTGATCCTCCTGCCTCAGCCTCCCAAAGTGCTGGGGTTACAGGCAAGAGCCACTGTGCCCAGCCATTTCCTTTACATTTAATTTCTAAGTTTGTCTTGTGGATGTTTGCTTTGCAATGTTGCAGCCGTTTTCCAAATCTAAAGGTTCAAAAGTGTTTGAGGAATTCTAATAACCCCCTGGTTTGCTCTATGCTAACGTCCATATACACAGTTTCATTCTGTAACAATTTACTGTGTACCGCCTGAGCTTGGCAGCTCCTTTCCTAGCCCTGGACTGGGAAGCACATATTTAGCAGGTGCTGGGGAACCAAGCTCTGGGGACAGACAGACCAGCCAGCTGCCCACCCTGGGCTGCTGCTGACATGCGCAGGGTCTCTCCTCCCCGTGAGCCGCAGCTGCCATGACTGCCCTTCTACCGCTGCCAACTCCTTCCTGGGCCCCGGTTCCAGCCCAGCCTCCCCCTGGTGCCCTGGACTGCCCTCAGATACACACCACGCAGCCAGGTCTGTGCTGCCCACCGTGCCCAGGGCCCTGCATGCACACGCGTGCACACTGCCCCTGGTGCAACCCCTGTCGTGTGCACACTCCCCTGTCCCACCAGATTTGCCCCCAAAGCCCAAGCTGATAAACAAAGTTATTTAGAATTTCTCTTTTTTTTCTTTTTTTTTTTGGAGACGGAGTCTCACTCTGTCGCCCAGGCTGGCGCGCAGTGGCACCATCTCTGCTCACTGCAACCTCTGCCTCCCGGGTTCAAGCAATTCTCCTGCCTCAGCCTCCTGAGTAGCTGGGACCACAGGCGCCCGCCACCTCGCCCAGCTAATTTTTTTGTATTTTAGTAGAGATGGGGTTTCACCATGTTGCCCAGACTGGTTTCAGACTCCTGACCTCAGGCGATTCACCCACCTCGGCCTCCCAAAGTGCTGGGATTACAGGCATGAGCCACCACGCCCAGCAGAGAATTTCAAGACAGTGACAGCAAGGCATGAAGCCTTCTAAGTGTGGGAACTTGTGTGTTTGTGGGAGCTGCATGCCCATGCAGCAGGCTCTGGGACTGAGGCAGGAAAATACGGTCTGGAGGCAGGGAACATAAGGCGGATTCGCACTTCAGCTATGACAGGACATGTCCTCCCCATGGGCACACAGCGAACAAATGACTTTGTAACTTCATTCTCTTCATTTACATAGGGCGGACCTCCAGTACAGGGTATTTAAACTCACAAAAACTCTTTAACGGGGCCCTTATAATAGTATAAAGCACATCTCTGGGTGGAGATTTAAGATGCTAATGAGACATGAATGGTATGAACAAGCGTGTACAGCTACTGCACACATGCACCCAGAGGACCACCCAGAACATGCTTCCTAGCAACACCTCTTCCCAGCTCCTTAGGAATAATCATGGAAGAGTCCCATAAAGGGAGCCTCCCTCAGGCCGGTCTCTGCTTCTCATCCTTGTGAGCAGCCCGCCCTGCACCCTGTCTCGCCCAGGGCATCCTGTCTGTTCTGCACCTCACTTCCACAACATTCTTTCTCCTTTGCAATGAATTCCGCTCGGCTGCTCCCACACTGTGGAGTGCACTTTCCTTCTCAATAAATCCCAGCTTTTGCTCTCCTCGCTTTATTTGTGCGTTTTGTCCAATTCTTTGTTTGAGAAGCCAAGATCCTGGACACCCTCCCTGGGTACAGTAACAGGGCTACAGAAGCCTTAGTGGGGGGATAATTGAGGGGGGAAAAGGCAGGAAGTAGGCGAGCCCCACCCACAGAGTCTCCACCCCCTCCTCCGGTCCTGTCTACACTGCATGAGCTAGAAGATAAAAATGTCAATTCCAAGGCCAGGGTGAGAATGAGGTCCTGCCAATCGAATGCCTTTCCCCAGGTCTGGAAGGGAAGGCAGGCAGAGGCCCATGCCAGGGCTCAAGTGCTGCTGCGCATGAGGGCGAGCTGTGCACCTGTGGCTTCCGCTGCAGCTGGTCACCTGCTTCCCCAGAGAAAGGCTTGGGTAGACGCACACCCCAGTGCTGTCACCAGCCTGTGGACGCCCTGAGGTGGCTGTGGCAGAGGTGGCGGTGAGGTGGCTCCCTGTCCCTGGACCACATGGCAGGTGCACTGGAGCTCAGGGTTCCAGGACAGCTTGGAAACCTGAGGTCTCCAGGGGCCCCTGCTGTGGACAGCTGGAGTCCTTCCAGGAAGTCCAGGTCCCAGAGCTGCCATCGAGAACATAAGCTTCTGATTTCCACTCTAGATCCCCCCGACAGAAAATACCCTGAATGACTGCTTTTCCTGCTCTGACTGAGCCACCGCTTGTACTCGCTTCCTGGGGCAGCCCTAACAAAGGACCACAAATGACAGAAACATCCCTCTCCCAATCCTGGGGGCCAGAAGTCTGAGATGCAGGGGTGGGCAGGGCTGGTTCCTTCTGGGGCTGCAACAGAGCCTCTGTTCTGGTCTCTTCTAGCTTCTGGGTCTTGCTGGCAACCCTTGGTCCTCTGTGACTTATAGAAGCATCACCCCAACCTCTACCTTCATCTTCACGTAACGTCCTAATGTCCATCAATGACAGACTGGATAAAGAAAATGTGGTACTTATACACCATGGAATACTGTGCAGCCATCAAAAAGAATGAGATCATGTCCTTTGCAGGGACATGAATGGAGCTGGAGGTCAATATCCTTCACAAACTAATGCAGGAACAGAAAACCAAATATCGCGTGTTCCCACTTATGAGTCAGACCTGAGCACTGAGTACATAGGAACACAAGGGAACAACAGCACTGTGGTGCATTTGGCGGGGGTGGCGGGGGCAGGAGGAGGGTGAGGATCAAAAAGTCACCTATTGGGTACTATGCTCATTACCTGGTTGATGAAATAATCTATACACCAAACCCCCATGACATGCAATTCATCTATATGGCAAGCCTGCACATGCAGCCCTGAACCCAAAATAAAAGCTGAAAGAAAGCTTGTCTCCAGGCTAGGTTGCCTTAGAAGGCACTGGGCATTTGGGCTCCCCCAGCTCTGGAATTTTTTTTTGGAGGTGGGGATCTATTCAACTCCCGGCTGCCTTCGAGCTTGTGTCCCGCAGCTGGCGTTGTGTGCAGTCCTGCCTTCTCCTGTCTGGTTTTTCAAGGCCCTGTGAGATTGCAGATAAGCCCAAGCTCCTCCGCATCTCCACGTCTGGCTCCTGCATGCACTAGGGGCTTCTTAGGGCCTGATGTACCGCACAGCTCAGCATACAGACCCTTCCTCATCCTTCCGCTGAAGTGGCCTGGCCCTGAGCTTCCCTCCCTCCCACGGGACGGCAGTGCCTCCACGGCTGACACCACCGCCCTCACCACCTTTCCCTCTCCCCACCTCTCCCCACATACCAGACTGTGAGCTTGGATTTACTCTGCTCTGTCATCTCTGGAGCCCAACACAACAAGGGGCCCAGAGCAGAAAGCTATAGACGTTAGTTCTGTGCATGAAGACATGGACCATGACATGAAAGATGCTGAGGGGAGAGAAATGGGAACAGGCCCAGGGGTGGAGGCAAGAAGATGGTGCTTCTGGGAATGAGAGAGAGGTGGGAAGGAGAGAACCACAAGACAGTGAGCTTTGTGCTTAGAGACTTTGTTTATTTAGAGGGTCAGGATTCAGTCTTGATATACAGACAGCCAGAGAGATTGAGGGTCGATCACACTCCTGAAAGAAGGAGCAGCTGTCAGGGTCTAAGGGGTCTGATCTGCCTCTGGGGCCTCAGTGGGCCGCTTTGGATCTTAAATGAGTGAGGAGCAGGGAGAGGAAGTTCAGGAGAAGTAGTAGGCAATGAGCCAGAAGGGGTCCTCAGTCAGTTTCGGGAGCACTGGTGTGGAGTGGATGAAGCCAGTGAGGACACAGTGGAGACAGTGGAGCACCAGAGAACCCAGGGCAAGGAAGCTGGGCAGCCGGGCCCTTCACCAGTCAGGCCACCTGCAGTCTGCAGTCAGAGCCTCAGATCTTACACTGGCAGCACACGGGGACACAGCAGCTGGACTGGCAGCAGCAGGGCTTGTAGCAGCTGGATTGGCAGCAGGATGATCCACAGCCTGAGAAGCAGCTACAGGGCTTACAGCAGCTGGACTGGCAGCAGTAGGGCTTACAGCAGCTGGACTGGCAGCAGTAAGGCTTACAGCAGCTGGACTGGCAGCAGGATGACCCACAGCCTGAGGAGCAGCAGCAGGGCTTGCAGCAGCTGGACTGGGAGCAGCCATAAGAACCACAGCCCCCCTTGGACCCCCCACAGGAGCCACAGCCCCCCTTGGACCCCCCACAGGAGCCACAGCCCCCCTTGGACCCCCCACAGGAGCCACAGCCCCCCTTGGACCCCCCACAGGAGCCACAGGCCCCCTTGGACACCCCACAGGAGACACAGCCTCTCTTGGAGCCCCCGCAAGAGCCACAGCCCCCTTTGCCACAGCTGGAGCAGGAACAAGCTGGCACACAGCAGCACATGGGCTTGCAGCAGCAGACAGGCACACAGCAGCCGGAGCCACATCCCCCACAGCCCGCACAGCCGGAGCCACAGCCCCCACAGCCTCCACAGCCGGAGCCACAGCCCCCACAGCCAGAGCCACAGCCTCCACAGCCGGAGCCACAGCCCCCACAGCCGGAGCCACGGCCTCCACAGCCGGAGCCACAGCCTCCGGAGCAGCCACAGCAGCCCATGGTTCTGGTGGATTGAGGGTGGAGCAGGTAGAGGAGCAGGTGAGAGGGAGGTGCAGGTGTGGAGCCCCCTGAGCCCGGGCTCTTTATATCCCTGTCCAGGGTCAGGTGAGAGGCTGGGCACACTGTCACTTCCTGGTTCCTGCTTGTGCCACTGGTCCCAGTATTCTCTTCTGCTTTACATTTTTATAAATAACTCCTGTTTTCCTCGCACTTTTCTCGAATGTGCTGTCAGGTCTGTGATGGAAGCGGCCCCTCAGTAAACACTGGCCCCGCGGTGAGTTTCCCTTTCCATGTGACAAGAAGGAAGCGATGGGCAGGCAGTGGCTCGCTCAGAGGCCTTGGTCTTGCCGAGGGTGATTTTGAGCCCAGGACTCCTGGCTTGCTCCCGGGAAGATTCCTCTGCGGGAGCATCGTGTCTTGCTTGGGACGTGCCTAGGCCCTACACCTTCACGGTCCACAGCAGCTCCTGGCCCGCGGGCTGTTTCCAAGGGTCCCAGGACCTGGGGCTTCAGCCCTCAGCTCAGCAGGGTCGTTTTCGGTGTAAGACTTTGTTGGAAGGTTTGCAGTGTTGACTGAGACGGGGATTTTAAGCGCTTATTCTGGAGCTTGCTGCGTGCTCCCCATGGAAAGTGTTCTCCTGTGATAACCGCGGTCTCTTCCAGGGCTTTCAGACCACTCGGGTGGCAGGGCTGACAGATACAGTACAGGATGCCTGCTGGAACTTGAATTTCAGATCATCGAAGGCTGCCTTTTGAGGAAGGAAATCCAAGCATTGCAAGGGGCAGACACTGCCTCTGCGCTGGGTCAGGACCCAGATCGCATTGTCTCCTGCAGCGGTTCCTCCTGCCGCCGCACGGTGTCGCTGTGAAGCGGGTTCCCCCACTGCGTGGCCGGCCCAGGGGCTCCCGGACAGCGGCACAGGCTGATGGCAGAGGCCCTTTCAGGGCCAGTGAGCGGAAGAGGATGCCCTGTCTGGGTGCCCGCCTGCTCCGGGTCCCGGGCTCAGCCTGGGAAGCAGCAACTACATTCGGGTGCAGGCCCACTGGATGCTAAAGAAAGCCGGTGGAGAGCAGGGAACCGGATGGCCATTTGCCCCCGTGACCACAATACCTGTGAGTGCCCCGAGCCCAGTCAACAGGCCTCAGGCCACGGTGTAAACACCAGCTGGCACTCGGTGACTCTTGCCGTGTATGCTGGAGCCCCACTCTGTTCTGGGGCAGGGGACTGTATCTCAGGGAGGAACAGAAAACCCATTAGGAGAGAGCCGCCTTGTGTTGGCTGTCCCCACCAGAGGCGGCATCCTCCAGCTCTGGAACAGAGGCAACAGATACATTTGCTTCCTGATACATTCGCATCCAGCGCCTGATACATTCGCATCCAGCGCCTGATACGTTCGCATCCAGCGCCTGATACATTCGCATCCAGCGCCTGATACATTCGCATCCAGCGCCTGATACATTCGCATCCAGTGCCTGATACATTTGCATCCAGCGCCTGATACATTTGTCCCAGTGCTTGATACATTTGCTTCCAGTACCTCGTATATTTGCCTCCAGCCCCTGAAGTAATGTATCAACACCCGCGCTGACTCCTAGTGACACCCTTGGATCAGCTCCTTCCCTCGGGTACAAGAGGACTTTTCCTTTTGTACTTTGGGAACATCTTCCCTTTCATGGGCCTTTGTTCTTCGTGGTCCATTGATGACCTTCGGGTTCGCTGAATTGGGCAAAGAGGATCATCAGAGGGCCTCTTACAATGCTCTGATGGAACAATCAACATGGCAGTGGTCTCACCCTGTCCCGTGGGGCACCCCACGATTATGTAGCTTTTGAGCAAATGCCCCCTGAAATGTGTGTATTATATAAGGTGCATATGCTCCTGTCTAGTCATTTGCTATTTTAATTTTAGTTAATTTTAATTTTTTTCACCTTTTCAGCGTAAAGCAGACATGAGTATGTTGTAGACTTTGCTCCTGTGCTCCACATTAGGAACTACCTCTGCAGACCCATTCTTAACTACTGTGGGTTCGTAGATTCCTCTGTGGAATTTTACAGAGCCTCTCTTTAAACAAGTCTACAAACATGCACAAAAACACACAACTTTACATAAAACTGTGCAGTATCCAGACAGGATCTGATGTCCACCTGTATCTGTAGGCTCCAGATCAAGAACCCAACAGAAAAGGGGGCACCAGGTAAGAGAGAGCTGGAAGGATTTCTCCTCCTAAAACGAGCTAGGCTGACCCCACAGATTTTCACTCCTCCACCACCTGAAACCACACTCAGATGAGAGGAAGGCTCAGGGGCGGTTTTTCCTGGGATAGTAAAGTGCTGGCTGATGCCGCACAGCAGAGAAGGCTCCAGCAGAAGGACTTGCAGAAGAAGCAACAAGGAGAAGGCCAGCAGCACAGTATGTTTCTCGCGACGAAGACGGCAGACAGCATGATGGCACGGGGCTTGGAGGCTAGGACATGAAGGGTGGTACAACACTTGCCTCTCTCTCTGTCTCTCTCTGTCTCTCTGTCTCTCTCTCTCTCTCTCTCTCAGTACTACTCCTTCTGGGTGAAGCCAGATCCTGTGCCAATAGCAGCCCTGTGGAGAGGCCTGCAGGTGAGAAGCTGAGGCCTCCCACCCACAAGCCAAGGCATGTACCATCCTGGAAGTGGGTCCAATACCAGCCGAGCCTTCAGGGGATGCAGCCTCAGACCCCCAGCCAGAACCACCCAGGAACATTTGGGGCCTGACAGAGAAGAATGAAAAGGGCTGTGTGTGGGTGCTCACATCTGCAATCCCAGCATTTTGGGAGGCTGAGGTGGGAGGATCACTTGAGCCCAGGAGTTTGAGACCAGTCTGGGTAACATAGTGATATCTCATCTCTACAAAAATGTACAAAAATTAGCTGGGCCTGTGAGCGCACACCTGTAGTCCCAGCTACTCGGGAGGCTGAGGTGGGAGGATTTCTTGAGCCCAGGAGGTCGAGGCTGCAGGGAGCTATGATTGCACCACTGCACTCCAGCCTGGGTGACAGAGCTTGACTCTGTCTCAAAAAAGAAAAAAAAGAAAAAAGAAAAAGGTAAGGCCAGTAAAACACAAGAAAATTTTAACTTCATTTCGTTATTAACAAATACACACAATTTCTGAATCAAATATTAAAGACTCCAATATGATTATTTAAAAATAGCAAGTCATAAGTAGGGTTTGTTCCAAGAATGTTAAGATGGCTCACCGTCAGGAAATGTATCATTGTAACTCATTACAAAAGTGCCTTGAGGGAGAGAATTCACACGTCCACCTCAGCAGGTGTAACAATTAGCTATGGCGTGCCTGACCATGAGCTGAGGGACAGAAGTGTCTTCTTCAAATTGATAATTTCCGGAAGGAAGTATGAGGTTCTCGTGAAGGTAAATGTGCTGTATATAAAGAAGAAATGAAGGGTAGGATGCTCATGACTCGCTGGGGGTACAGGAAGGAGGCGGATCTGAAACACTGGACGGCACTCAGGTTGACACAGGAGATGCTAGTCTGAGGGGAGCACCTGCCTCTGTGAGGGGCCAGGGGAAGATAGTGGCTGATCTCAGACTGCGTTAAACATGCATGTTAAAATGTTCACAGTCACCACTGGGGAAAAGTAGAAACAAAAACATCAGTGCAAACCAGCAGAAAAAGAGGAGAAAGGAAGAAAGAAGCTTCAGCAAGTCCATAGAAGCAAGAAAAGAGAATCTAAAAGCCTACGAAAAGGAAAATATAAAAATAAGAAAAGTATGGAAACAGTAGCACCCACGAGATGGTAGAGACAGTGCTGGCCCACGGGTGTGGTGAGGGGCCAGGATCGCCGCCCACCAGGGAGACAGCAGCCCAGCCACAATGCAGGGCCATTTTCAAGAGCACCCGAGGGCAGCAACCACCACCTTCTTTTGGCACGAGGAACCGGTTTTGTAGAGGAAAATTTTTCCACGGACCCAGGGGGTGGGTGGGGGCTGGTTTCAGGATGAAACTCTTCCATCTCAGATCATTAGGGATTAGTTAGATTCTCGTAAGGAGCACGCACCCTAGATCCCTCGCGTGCGCACTTGACAGTAGGGTTCTGGCTCCTATGAGAATCGAATGTGGCGGCTGAAGGGACGGGAGGTGCAGCTCAGGAGGTCATGCTTGCACGCCTTCCACTCACCTCCTGCTGTGTGGCCTGGTTCCTAACAGGCCATGGACTGTGGCCTGAGGGTTGGGGACCCCTGCCCTAGGTCACCGGGTCCTTCCATGGCTCTAACCCCCACCCACCTGGAGGTTGTGGAAGGGGCCTGAGGAGGTGGAGAGCAGAGATGTCATCAGGTTAATTTTTCTCTCTGGGAATGCAGGTGGGCTCCGTAACTCACCATCGCCCGTGTAGTTAATTACTCAATGTTGGTCTTCATTCTACTGTCCTCAGCCCTTCCTGCCTTGCCTATCCCTGCCTCACTCCTTTAATTGGAATGAATCCCAATTGTGTAGGGTCCATATGATTTTCCCGAGTCCCAGGTGCTGTCGTCTTAGATTTCTGCCATTTTGGAGGCTGTGTTCCTGTTTTCTTCTATTTGAAGGACGTTTTGTCACCATGTTCTTGGGTCATGTTTTGGTTTTGTCCTTTTTGGAGAAATTGATCCCCTATCTTTGGGTTTATGACCTCTCCGAGGAGCATCTAGGAGCAGCTAGCTATGAGCACCCTCCTCAGCCCTGACAGCCACGGCAGACTGGCCAGGGATTTGCAGAAGCGGCAATGTTGATTCAGCCTTTGGAGTTCTGTCACCAAACCACCACGGGCTCAGTACTCAGCATTCCGCCTTCATTCTTTCCTGGAGCATGTTACGCTCTTTGGGGCTAAACTTTCAGATCTTCCTGCGGGTCATGGTGCATTTTTCTGGCCTTTGAATCTGCTTTCTGCTCCATTTGTTAAAGCCTCCACTGCTTACACCGATGCTGCAGCTTTCCTGTCCTCCCCGTTCGCCAGCCTCTCTCTGGCTGATTCCACGGCTTTGTGCTTTAGCCACACTGTGAGCATCTCGCGCCCTTCTCGGATGCCAGCGACCCAAGTCCCAGCCACCTCCGTTCTGCCCCTCACTCTTCCTAATCACCGACTCGAACTGTAATGACTTCTGGTGCTCATTTATTCCCTGAGGCCTCCGCTCTTCCTTTTAAAACTTACTCTATAGGCCAGACGCAGAGGCTCACGCCTGTAATCCCAGCACTTTGGGAGGCCAAGGTGGGCGGATCACTTGAGCTCAGGAGTTTGAGAACAGCCTGGCCAACATGGTGAAACCCTGTCTCTACTAAAAAAAACAAAAATTAGTGGGGTGTGGTGGCACGTGCCTGTAATCTCAGCTACTTCAGAGGCTGAGGCAGGAGAATCAGTTGAACCTGGGAGGCAGAGTTTGCAGTGAGCTGAGATCACATCATTGCACTCCAGCCTGGGTGAAAGAGCAAAACTCCGTCTCAAAAAATAAACAAATAAACAAAATAAAACTTACTCTATAATTTTACCATCTCAACTGAGAGCCCTATTAAAGTTAGTATGCCATATTTGTAATTTGCTGCCATATTTGTTATTATTTGTTGCATAACTCAACCATTTGCAGGAAATCTACTTTTGTCTCCCGGATGACAAGTTTGCTTAGAAAGGTTTGTCTCCTTCCTTTCCTCCTCCTTTTGTTTTTTAAGGTTTGTTTTCATAGCTGTTACAGAATCTCATGTTACCTCTCTTGGGTTTGGCCAATCCTGTCTAGATCTTCTACCTATGTTGAAACAAAATGGGATGCTCCTGGTTCCCTTTACCCAGCACCTGAGGGCGGAGCTGCCAAGCTCTGGTGAGCACCTGGGGTGCGTGATGGTCTGCTCATGTCCAGTGCGGCCTCGCGCAGGGCTGGTGGGGGACAGCTTTGTTAGGATGCCTGGGCTCTGTGCTCACAATCCAGGTCTTATGAAGTGTCCCCATCCCAGCCTCACCGCGCCTAGTCGGGAGGCGTGAACTGTTGCCACACAGGGCTGCATCCTCTGACCCAGTGTGTTCCCTAGGAAGAAGCCATTTTCAGCACAGCAGGCACTTCCCTCTCTGTGGGTTTCTCTCAGTCCCCTGCCCCACAGCTCCCATTAGCAATGGGAACGACGGAACCTATAACCCCTCTCTCGCCTCTTCCAGATAAGACAAGGCCTTTATCCCAAGCTTGAAAGACATTCTTTTTTTTTTTTTTCTTTTTTTTTTTTTTGAGATGGAGTCTTGCTCTGTCGCCCAGGCTGGAGTGCAGTGGCACGATCTCGGCTCACTGCAAGCTCCGCCTGCCGGGTTCACGCCATTCTCCTGCCTCAGCCTCCCAAGGAGCTGGGACTACAGGCGTCTGCCACCACGCCCGGCTAATTTTTTTTTGTATTTTTAGTAGAGACGGGGTTTCACCATGTTAGCCAGGATGGTCTCGATCTCCTGACCTCGTGATCCGCCCGCCTGGGCCTCCCAAAGTGCTGGGATGACAGGCGTGAGCCAGCGCGCCCGGCTGAAAGACATTCATTTTTATACCATCTAATAATGTTGGCGAGGCTAAAAATGACAATTAAGACAAAGTGAGAATGGCTTTTAAAAACGTCAGAAATTAAACTCAAGTACATGCCTGTGGAAAAACAAAGTACACTGTTTGAACACAAGGGATTTGTTCTCTCAATATCCAAATAACTTTTAAAGCAGTAATGAGAAGTCAAAAAGGTATAAATTTTTTTTTTTTTTTTTTGAGACGGAGTCTTGCTCTGTCGCCCAGGCTGGAGTGCAGTGGCATGATCTCGGCTCACTGCAAGCTCCACCTCCCAGGTTCACACCATTCTCCTGCCTCAGCCTCCTGAGTAGCTGGAACTACAGGCGCCCGCCACCACGCCCGGCTAACTTTTTGTACTTTTAGTAGAGACGGGGTTTCACCATGTTAGCCAGGATGTTCTCGATCTCCTGACCTCGTGATTCGCCCACCTTGGTCTCCCAAAGTGCTGGGATTATAGGTGTGAGCCACTGTGCCTGGCCAATAAAAAAGTATATAATTTATATTGGAGTAAAAGAATCACCCTCACTAATAGTTAATTGAAGAGATTAACAACAGGATGATAAATGAGATCCCCCATCCACCCATGAAATTCCTGAGATTTTTAACATAAACAATACTCACCACGTGAGGCTGTGTATGCAGCAGCCAGGAGTCCTGAGCACCCCACGACCTGAGGCTGGCGGAGGAGAGATTCACTGCAGTGCACCAATGTGTTAAGACAGAACCAAGATACAACGTTGGTTCCTCAATTAGCCTCTTTAATTATATGGATGAAAGCTTAGTTTTTAAAAAATTATCTTCACACAAAGTTCACAGTTTCAAAGAAAAATATAATGCCATAGGTGGGAAGAAAAGATGGGAAGAAAACAACCAAAATGATCTTTGTAGAAAACCCATCCTCTGCCCATCACATGAGGAAAACAGAAGGCAGGTGATCAGTTCAGTACAAGGTCCAGTTCCAAGGAGGAAGTGACTACATTTAGAAACATAAGCAGGTGGGTGTTGGATCAGGCCAATGAGAACCCGAAGTCCAGCAAACAAATAATCACATACCCAGGAAGTGCTGGGAATGATGGAGTGACCAAGGTCTCAGAGCAACCCTACCCAGGGATATAAGGGGGTCCAGGCTCAGGGGGCTCCACACCTGCACCTCCATCTCATCTGCTCCTCTACCTGCTCCACCCTCAATCCACCAGAACCATGGGCTGCTGTGGCTGCTCTGGAGGCTGTGGCTCCGGCTGTGGGGGCTGTGGCTCCGGCTGTGGGGGCTGTGGCTCTGGCTGTGGGGGCTGTGGCTCCGGCTGTGGGGGCTGTGGCTCCGGCTGTGGGGGCTGTGGCTCCAGCTGCTGTGTGCCCATCTGCTGCTGCAAACCTGTGTGCTGCTGTGTGCCAGCCTGTTCCTGCTCCAGCTGTGGCTCCTGTGGGGGCTCCAAGGGGGGCTATGGCTCTTGTGGGGGTTCCAAGGGGGGCTGTGTCTCCTGTGGGGGTTCCAAGGGGGGCTGTGGCTCCTGTGGGGGCTCCAAGGGGGGCTGTGGCTCCTGTGGGGGTTCCAAGGGGGGCTGTGGCTCCTGTGGGGGCTCCAAAGGAGGCTGTGGCTCTTGTGGCTGCTCCCAGTGCAGCTGCTGTAAGCCCTGCTGCTTCTCTTCAGGCTGTGGGTCATCCTGCTGCCAGTCCAGCTGCTGTAAGCCCTGCTGCTCCTCCTCAGGTTGTGGGTCATCCTGCTGCCAGTCCAGCTGCTGCAAGCCCTACTGCTGCCAGTCCAGCTGCTGTAAGCCCTGCTGCTCCTCCTCAGGTTGTGGGTCATCCTGCTGCCAGTCCAGTTGCTGCAATCCCTGCTGCTCCCAGTCTAGTTGCTGTGTCCCTGTGTGCTGCCAGTGTAAGATCTGAGGCTCTGGACTCAGGCCTCATGTGAGTCCTGCTAATCCTGTCTTCCAAAGCTGTGACCTGTCCTTCATTGTTGAGCCCCAAATCATTGCTCAGGGTCCATTCCCTGCTGTAGAACGATGCCATATCTGGCTGCCTTTTCCTAAGAAGAGTCCACCCTAATTAATGTCCATTGTCTCTCCTAACAAATTCTCTCCCCAAGTCAACTGCAATTGCAGCTGAATCACCCCTCACCCACTAGCCTCGCCTTTGCTCATCTTTTCAGAGGCCTGAGCTCCTGAACCCACTTGCAGTCCTGTCTTTTCCAGCTGGAGCAGCTGGGCATAAGCGTCCCACCTGCAACAAGGTGGGCGTTTAAGAGGCTTCCTTGGAGTGGCTTTGCATGTCCAACACTCTGCTGTATCTTTTTTTTTTTTTTTTTTTTTTTGAGATGGAGTCTCGCACTGTCACCCAGGCTGGAGTGCAGTGGCACCATCTCGGCTCACTGCAAGCTCCGCCTCCCGGGTTCACTCCATTCTCCTGCCTCAGCCTCCCCAGTAGCTGGGACTACAGGTGCCCGCCACCACGCCCGGCTAATTTTTTTTTTATTATTATTAGTAGAGACAGGGTTTCACCATGTTAACCAGGATCACACTGCTTTATCTTAAACAGAAAGTTGCAAACTAATAAAAATACCATGCCGACAAACTGAAACACATATCTTGCTGATTTCTCTGTTGTTCGGTGTCATTACTATGGCTATGGCTATTGTTTTCTTATTCTTGTTATATTTCGGACTCCGTGAGTCTGATGGTGATGTTGCTGGAAGGTGCTAGGATGGGGCTGGCTGTCTCCGCTGCCTCTCGTCCGTCTCAAAAAAAGAAAAAAAAAAAGGTAAGAGTCAAACCTGGAGAAACTCTGTATAGACAGACTTGAAACAATCTGAACACCAATTTCTTAACTGGACTGATACACATCAAATATGTTTAAACTAGGAGTGAGTAATCATACGCACACACATACATACACAAATAATAATAGAGATACTATGCAAACTGTAAAATTTAGTTGCCTTTAGAGGATTCTAGGAATCAAGTCATTATTTCGAAGATGACTATATAAAGGAAAATAATCAGGCACTTATTCTATCTCTGATAGAGAAACTCTATCTTACGGTAACCAAAAAATTAGAGGAAGTATTCCAGTTTATAAATAAAGAAGAAATCGTAGAATTAGAAGCTAACCATTTTGTAACCCCTAATGAAATAATGGGGCTATCAAATTTACTGCATGCAGCCAAATCAGTGCTTAGAGAAAAATTTATAGCCTTAAATGCATATGTTGGAGTAAAAAAAAAAAAAAAGCTTAAGCTCATTTAGGCAAAAACCTATCTATAGGACTGGCAGCATTGCCACACAGAGCCCAGAATGGGGTGGTAATTAGGGCTATTTGTAGGCATCCTGGTTCTCCTCTCCTTCTGGGAACAGGTTGGATGGCAGGTGGTAGGGTGGCCCTTCCATGAGCCCTCTCTAAGTCAGGTGTGGCCATGTGATTTGCTTGCGTCAGTGGGAAGAAGTTTGAAGCACCTGCTGCAGTCTTCTGCATTCTCCGTTTCTTCTCCTACCATGACCACCAACATTCCAAGCAGTGGCTGCTGCTTCCGACTGAGTCCCAGAGTGACGAAGCACAGAGCAGAGTCACCAGCTGACGTGCAGTGGCCTGGGATATGAACAGGAAGTAAGCCTGTGTCGTGTGAAGTCACTGAAACGTGGGGGTGGCGCGTGTGAGCAGCGTAATTGGTCTATCCTGGTTGACCCAGAAACCTACCAGAACAAAAACATAGCATTGTGGGCCTGGTTTATTGGTCAGAGGGTGGGTGGAAAGGAAAGTTATTAGAGGTGAGAAAGGTAGTTATTATGTGTTTGGTAAGACTGTCCCAGATCGTGTATCCCTGAGGGAAGAGTTCAGAAAACACAATGCCACTCCCACGTGGGTCGTTGTGGCTGCATTTATCAAAGCATTACAAGAACAGGGTGAGCTCGAAAGAACCGGCTGATTTGCCAGCCAGGAGGAAAGTTCTAGAAAGCCTGGAGAAACCTGGGGAGCTACAGAGTTCTCAGTTCTGCCTGGTAAATGGTAAGACTTAGAAGGCTTTTGAGCAGCAAAGAACAATTGAAGCTCAAATGAAAGGAATTTTTTTTTTTTCTTTTTTTTATTTGAGACGGAGTCTCACTCTGTTGCCCAGGCTGGAGTGTAGTGGCACGATCTCGGCTCACTGCAAGCTCTGCCTCCCAGGTTCACACCATTCTCCTACCTCAGCCTCCCAAGTAGCTGGGACTACAGGCGCCCACCACCACGACTGGCTAATTTTTTTTTTCTGTATTTTTAGTAGAGATGAGGTTTCACCGTGTTAGCCAGGATGGTCTCGATCTTCTGACCTCATGATCCGCCTGCCTCAGCCTCCCAAAGTCCTGGGATTACAGGCATGAGCCACCGTGCTCGGCTAAAAGGAACCCTTTTTAAGGGTACACTTTGATGAGGTTCCATGAGAACAGACCACACTGAGGTAGGGAGTTGGTAGCTGCCTCCAGCCTGGCCAGTGGGGCAGGAGGGGCTGCTGTGGGGTCAGTGGGTCCGGAAGAAGACGCCGGAAACTTCTCCCCCCATGGCTCACTTGGCGTTCTCTTTGCTTGGCCTGTGGCTCCTGTGGGTAAATTCATGTCCTGCTGTGTGATGAAGAGGTTTCTGCAGGGAAGAGGGGGAGGTGTTTGGCCCAGGCAGGACCCAGTGACCTGCAGATCAAAGATGGCCTCACTACCACGGTAATGGGCACCAGAGAAGAGCCTGCCGCCAGCCATTCGTTGGAAACAGGCCCAACAGAACCAATGCTGTCTGTGCTTGTGGTGTGGGGGTAGAAGAGAAAGAGAAAGAAACCCAAAACCTTCCTTAATAATGAACAGATGTCACATGATTGTTAGCAAGATTTAAGACATAGTTGTAACTCTCCATGAAATCAACAAAGAGAAAATCACGTGTTGGACATTTTATGCATAATTTTTTGATAAAATCATAGGATTGCCTGCTGCAACATCCTTCATTTCACAGTTGGCCGTGACAGAATGACGCTGAAGGGAGTCGCGTAGCAAAAACAACTGAGCTCCTTCTCATCCTTCACGGACGCCTCTCTTTGAGGTCAACTCACCCCATTGGGAAGCCTCTATCTTGCCTCCTTGACCAGCTTCTCTTTCAGGGTGAACCGCCTGATCTTCACCGTGGTGGCCTTGCCTGGCTCCCAGCAGATGTTCTCCAATGTCACTTTCAGTGACATCACAGAATCCTACGTTTCTTTTCTTGCAAGCATTGCAATTTTACTTAAAATCTGCATCGTAAATATGACTGTGGAAAATGTATTTAAGAGAGCTGGTTCTGCAAAGACATGAAAGACATTTGGGAGGGGGTGTGTGGGAATAAGTGATATTGTTAAGTAAACGAGCTGCTTGAGTGGAGAACACTTTTGGAAGTGGTCAGCTTGGCCCCATCTGTGCTAAAAATACAAAAAAAGAAAAAATTAGCCAGATGTGGTGGTGGGCGCCTGTAGTCCCAGCTACTCGGGAGGCTGAGGCAGGAGAATGGTGTTAACCCAGGAGGCGGAGCTTGCAGTGAGCCGAGATGGTGCCACTGCACTCCAGCCTGGGTGACAGAGCAAGACTCTGTCTCAAAAAAAAAAGAAGTAGTCAGCTTGGGCTTGGCTCACTCCTGTAATCCCAGTACTTTGGGAGGTTAAGGAAGAAGGAACACTTTAGCTCAGGAGTTCAAGACCAACCTGGGTGACATAGCAAGACCCCGTCTCTGCAGAAAAATGAAAGAATTAGCTGGGCATGGTGGTGCACACCTGCAGTCCCAGCTAATGGGGAGGCTAAGGTGGAAGAATCTCTTGAGCCTGGGAGGTTGAGGCTACAGTGAGTTATGATTGCACTGCTACACTCCAGCCTGGGTGACAGAGTGAGACCCTGTCTCAAATAAATAAAAAATAAATAAATAAATGACATTGTCAGCTTGTTTACTTGTTTGTGATTATTTTCTTTTTTACCTTCCTCTTCTTGTTTTTAATAGAGATAGAGTCTCACTGTGTTGCCCAGGCTGGTCTCGAACTCCTGGGCTCAAGGGATCCTCCTGCCTCAGTCTCTCGAGTAGCTGGTACTACAGGCATGCACCACTGCCACTAGTGAATATTTTGAAGGCCTGATGATTTACAATGAGCACAGGGAGACCCTGTATGGAGCCTAGAGATGTTGGCTGGTTGTGGAGTGGTCACCGAGGGAGCATCTTAGCATGAATCTCTGGTCAGAGTGATCGGGGAACCAGACTCAGTCTGGAAACAAGCAGGGGACACCTTCAGCTTACAGACAGCAGATTGTGGAGTTGCTCAACTTCCATAATTGCAGGGTCCAATTCTTCAGAATCATCTATGTATCTATCTATGTATCTATTTATCTATGTATCTATCGATCATCTAGGTATCTCTGTATCCATCTATGTAAGTATGTAAGTACCTATCTATGTATCTATGTATCCATCTATGTATGCATGTACGTATGTATCTATGTATCTATTTACGTATCTATCGATCATCTACGTATCTCTATATCCATCTATGTATGTATGTAAGTACCTATCTATGTATCCATCTATGTATGTATGTATCTATCTATGTATCTATGTATCCATCTATGTATGTATGTGTGTATGTATGTATGTCTGTATCTAGCTAGCTAGCTACGTATCTATGTATCCATGTATGTATCCATGTGTGTATCTATGTATCTATGTACCTATCTATCTATCTATCTATCTATCTATGTAGGGACAGAGCCAGCCCAGTGCAGAGCCCTGGCTTCCTTTCTGTGCCACCAGCCACTCCACCTCAGTCTCCATTGCTTAATTCTCCTCCTCCAGGCCCTGAGCACTGGGCGGTGCCAGGTTCAGCCGGGGGGTCTCTATCTCACCTGCGACCTCCTCCATGTCTCTCACAACACCTTCCCCTCTAGGTTCCACACTCACAGGCCCAGGTGCCTGCTTCTCATGGACATCTGGCCTTTCAAACTAAGCACATCCCAGACTGAACTCCTCCTCCTTCCCCTGGAACCAACGCCTTCCCAGCCTTCCCCATTGTAGTTCACAGCAGCTCCATCCTTCCCAGGGCTCAGGATAGAAGCCTGGGCATCCTCTTGACTCCTCTTCCACCCTCCACATCCAATCCAACAGCAAATCTCCAAGGTTCTACCTTGGAAAAGTATTTGGAATCTGATTCGCCAATTGCCTAATTGGTGATTTATCCAATGACCGCCTTCACTGCCACCACCCGATATTGACAGCACCTCGTGCATTCCAGCTACTCTCCCACACACTTTATAAACATGACTCCCTGAGTATCTGTGAGGTATGCACTCTTTTTTCAATTTAACTTTTTATATTCGGGTGATTGTAGATTCACCTGCAGTTACTCATAAGAAGTTACTCGTAAGAAGTTACTCGTAAGAAGACACAAAGGGGATCTCATGTACCCTTTCCCATGTCCCCGGTGACAGCATCTGGAATGCAGGTAACATAACAACACAGTGATATTGACCTTGGCACGGTCACAATACAGATCATTTCTCTAGCAAGGACCCCACGCGTTGCCCTGATGCAGCCCCCACATTTCCCTCCTGTTCTCCATTTCTGTAATTTTGTCATTTCGAGAATGCTCCATGAATGGAAACACACAGTGTGTAACCTTTTAAGACTGGCTTTTCCTACCCAGCATGATTCTCTGGAGATTCATCTGGGTCATCGAGCGTCTGTCATTCCTGCCATTTCATGGCTGAGACGTGTCCCCTGGCAGAGGTGAACCAGTGTGTTTCCCCTTCACCCATCAAGGGACATGTGGGTGTCTCCAGCATTTGGTGATCATGAATAAGCCTCCTATTAACATTTGTGGACAGGTTTTCCGTGTGCACATGTCTCTGGGATAAATGCCCAGGAGTGAGATTGCTGTGTTGAATGGCGGTTGTGTGGTTAGTTTTTTTCATAAGCTGCCAACCTATCTTCCAGAGTGGCTGTACCATTTTGCATTCCCACCATCAACATACGAGTGGCCCAGCTTCTCTGCCTTTTGCCAGCATTTGGTGTCGCTGCTATTTTTTTGTTAAGCCATTCTCATAGGGGCATCATGATATCGCATTACTGGTTAGTTTGTCTTTCCTAAAGTCTGAGGATGTCAAACTTCCTCTCACATCCTTATTTGCCACTGTACGTCCTCTTCAGAGAATTGTCTCTTCAAGTCTTTTGCCCATTTTTGGATCGGATTGTTTTTGTGTTTATGTATGATTTGCTGTTGTGTTTTGAGAGTTCTTTACATGGTCTAGATTTGTATATTCCAGTCCTTTGTCAGATATGTGGTTTGTAAATATTTTGGTTAGGGTGCAAAGTTATTTTATTTATTATTTATTTACTATTATTTTTAGACAGGTTCTCACTTTGTTGCCCAGGCTGGAGTGCAGTGGTGCAATAATGGCTCACCGTCCCCTTGATCTTCCAGGCTCAAGTGATCCTCCCAACTCAGCCTCCCAAGTAGCTGGGACCACAGGTGCACATCAGTATGCCTTTTTTTTTTTTTTTTTTGTAGAGATGGGGTCTCCCTAAGTTGCCTAGACTGGTCTCAAAATCCTGGACTCAAGTGATCCTCCCGCCTTGGCCTCTTACAGTGTTGAGATTACAGGCATGAGCCACCATGCCTGTAAGCCAAAATTCTTTTTAATATACTGCTGAATTCTATTATGAATAGTATATTTTTCTTTTCCTCTGTCACAGCAACTGGCTGCCTGGGTTATGGAATAAGAGGCAGAGCCCCAGGTGTCTTGTGGTGGTGGGAGGTGTGGGTTGACTCAGCTACTGAGATCTTGGTGTGGTTTGTTGCTGCAGCACAACCCAGGCCATCCTGACTGACACTGGGTGACCGAGGGGCTGGAAAAGAAAACATGCCGAGAAAGGCAGTTTCCACACGAATACACAAAAATCTATACTGCATTAATCAGGGTTCTCCAGAGACACAGAACCAGTGGGAGATTAGGTACATAGGTAGATTAGATAGATAGATAGATGCATACATACATAGATAATAGATACATAAATGGATAGATAGATACAAAGATAGATAATAGACATATAGATACATAGATGGATATATATAGAGATACATAGATGATAGATAGATACATAGACACATAGATACATACATAGGTAGATACATACATAAATAAATAGATGATAGGTAGATAGATAGCTACATAGACAGATACATAGTTAGATAGCTACATAGATAGATACATACTTACATAGATACACAGATAGATACATGGATACATAGATACAAAGATAGATACATAGATGGATAGATACATATATAGATACATAGATGATAGATACATGCATAGATAAATAGATACATAGCTACATAGTTACATAGATAGATAGATAGATAGATACATACATACATACATACACACAGAGAGAGATACACAGATACACAGATGATTATGAAGAATTGGCCCATGCGATTCTGGAGGCTGAGCAGCTCCATGATCTGCTGTCTGTAAGCTGAAGACCTAGGAAAGCCGGCGGGGTCATTCTGTTCAAGTCCAAAGGCCCGAGAACCAGGGAGCTGACGGTGTGAGTGTAAGTCCGAGGGCAGGAGACCGATGTGCCAGCTGGAGCGGTCAGGCAGAAAGGGACTTCCTCCACGTTTTGATCTATTCGGGCCCTCAGTGGATCAGAGGAAGCCACCCACATTGGGGAGGGCGTCTGCTTTCCTGAGTCCACTGATCCCAATGCTGGTCTCATCCAGAAACTGCCCTCACCGACCACCAAGAAATAACATTCAGCCAAATATCCGGGCACCCTGGGATCCAGCCAAATTGACACATAAAATTAACCATCACATATACCTGATTCAAGATTTTAAAACAGATGACAAAAGTTTTCAACTTTTACAGAAAAATATATCATGATCTCAGAGAAGTATTTCCTAAATAAGGCCCCAAATACTCTAATTCTAAAGGAAGAGGTGGGTGAATTGATAAGTTAAAATTAAACACTCAAGGATTCTCATTTAACAAGGGAAGGCCTCGCGAGAATGAAAAGATGAACCAAGGAGGATCTTGCAACATAAAAGCTGACCACACGATAGTTTGCTGAGTAAATGACGAGTAATGGGAGCAGCACACCAACATGGCACATGGATACATATGTAACAAACCTGCCCGTTGTGCACATGTACCCTAAAACTTAAAGTATAATAATAATAAAATAAAATAAAATAAAATAAAATAAAATAAAGCTGACCGTGGCTCAGCATTTGAAAACCCAAAGAGCTCACACCAATTAGCAAGCAAAGAAAACAACTAAACAGAGGAACCAACTCATAGACATCAGCAGGCATTTTATAAAAGAGGAAAGACAGGTCGGGCGCAGTGGCTCACACTTGTAATCCCAGCACTTTGGGAGGCCGAGGCGGGCAGATCACGAGGTCAGGAGATCGAGACCACGGTGAAACCCCGTCTCTACTAAAAATACAAAAAAAAAAAAAAAAAAATTAGCAGGGCGTGGTGGCGGGCGCCTATAGTCCCAGCTACTCAGAGAGGCTGAGGCAGGAGAATGGCGTGAACCCGGGAGGCGGAGCTTGCAGTGAGCCGAGATCGGGCCACTGCATCCAGCCTGGGTGACAGAGCGAGACTCCGTCTCAAAAAAAAAAAAAAAAGAAAGAAAGAAAAGAAAAGAGGAAAGACAAAGACTTGGTGGGTGCAGTTACCTTTGTTCCCACGGGCTCCATAGTCTGGTGATGGGGGTGGGGGCTGGAGTGAGCAGGCATTTCCCAGTCTTAGAACTCCAGCTTCAGCCTTCAGCCTTCTCCAATTGCCCACATGGCACAGGGGCTCTCTCCAGGGTCTTTCCCGTGCCTCAGCTGTCTATTGCAACAGCAACGGGTTTTTTGGTATTTGAGATGATCAAGTTGGTTCTAAAATTTAGCTGGAGAAGTAAAGGAATTGGAAACAAACAAAACAATCTTTAAAAAGAAGAATGAAGTTGGAGTCTCACAATACTTAACTTCAAAACCTCCCATAATGTCACAGTGACGCTGTGTTTGCATTAGGAAGCGGCATACAGACCTGCGGAGCGGGACACAGGAAGAAACTCGCCATCGTGTCGGCTGATTCTCATTAAAAACACCAGTGATTTCAGTGGGATAAGCACGGTTTGTTTGTTTGTTTGTTTGTTTATATCGAGACAGAGTCTCACTCTGTCACCCAGGCTGGAGCGCAGTGCTGCAGTCTCGGCTCACCGCAGCCTCTACCTCCCGGGTTAAAGCGATTCTCCTGCCTCAGTCCCCTGAGTAGCTGGGATTACAGGCGCCCCCCACCATGTCTGGCTAATTTTTGTATTTTTGGTAGAGACAGGGTTTTGCCATGTTGGCCAGGCTGGTCTTGCACTCCTGACCTCAGGTGATCTGCCCTCCTTGGCCTCCCAAAGTGCTGGGATTCCAGGCGTGAGCCACTGCGCCTGGCCAGGAAGGTCTTTTTATCAAATGCTGCTGAAACAATTGGATGAAAATGTGAAAAAATGGATCTCAACTCCTACCTCACATTACACGCAAAAATTAGCTTGAGATCCATCATAGAACTAAATATAGAAACTAAAACTCTAATGCTTCTAAAGGAAATGCTAGGAAAAAGGGTTTTCAAAGAGGTCACAAGAAAGCACTAGCTGTCAAAACAAATGTTAACGTGGACTTCAAAATCAAAAACATTTCCATATAAAAAGTTCAGATAACAATAAGGCAAGTCAAATACTAGAAAATTATATACAATATATATATTCTACATATATATATTATATACACACATATACACATGTATATGAAATATATATGTAAATATATATACGTACATATGGCAAAGCACTTCACATATTCATTCTTGATATAGAATTTATGAAGAGTTCCAACAACTCAATAACAAAAAGACAAAAAAAAATCACAATAAAATGGGCAAACAATTTTAGCAAAACTTTTTAACAAGAAAGATGTGCAAATGTCCAATAAGTGCAAGAAAGAATCCTTGCGAACATTAGTCATCAGAGAAACACAGGTCAAAATGCACACGAGATGCGATTTTACACCCATCCGATGCCTCACATTTGAAAAGCCGCTGGCTGGTACTGACAGGCCTGGGGCAGCGGACACTCTCAGGCATTGCTGGGGAGGGGGAAAGCAGCATGAGCATTTGGAAAGCTGTCTGTTTCTTAGCAAGTTAAGCATACACTACTCTATGGTCTAGCAAGGCCAGTCCTCAATATTTGACCAAAAAATTAAAACTAAAAACATGAATACGGAAGGACTGGAAGGCATGATTATGTGTTATTCATCATCGCCCCAAACTGTGAACGATTCAAATATGTATGAACGTGAGAACGGGGGAACGCAGTGGAGAATATTTTTACATGGAATAAGGGGGGCCCCACCCCTCATATTTTCTTATGCCCAATTTCTGTCTCCAAAGAAAAAAGAAGTAAAAACTAAATCCACAGGCAGACAGCCCGGTGCCACACCCTGGGCCTGGTAGTTAAAGATTGACCCCTGACCTAATCGGTTATATTATCTATAGATTCCAGACATTGTATGGAAAAGCATTGTGAAAATCCCTGTCCTGTCCTGTTCCGTTCTGATTGCCGGTGCATGCAGCCCCCAGTCACGTACCCCCTGCTTGCTCAATCGATCACGACCCTCTCACACAGACCCCCTTAGAGTTGTAAGCCCTTAAAAGGGACAGGAATTGCTCACTTGGGGAGCTTGGTTTTTGGAGACCTGAGTCTGCCAATGCTCCCAGCTGAATAAAGCCCTTTCCTTCTACAATTCAGTGTCTGAGGGGTTCTTGTCTGCGGCTCGCCCTGCTACAGAAACACTATGCGGTGATTACAAAAGAAGAAGAAGGCCAGGCGTGGTGGCTCATGCCTGTAATCCCAGCACATTGGGAGGCTGGGGCAGGTGGATCGCTTGAGCCCAGGAGGTCGAGGCTGCAGTGAGCCATGAGCGCACCACTCTGCACTCCAGCCTGGGTGACAGAGCAAGACCCTGTCTCAAAAAAAAAAAAAAAAAAAAAAAAAGAAGAAGAGCAAATCATTGACACACAGAATAACATCGTGAGGGAAAGAAACCAGAGTACATTTTTAATGATTTCATTTTTGCAACATTCAACAACAGGCACAACTGGTCAGCAGAGCTGTGCCTGGAGCGATGGGCAGGAAGGGAAGGCGGCGAAAGGGAAACTTCTGGGGGTGAAGCAGTTGGTCATGGTTGGAGTGATGGGCACACGAGTACATGTTTAGCGGAACTCATGGAATTGTACACTCAAAATATGTGCAGAGCCCAGGAGACCAAGGCTGCAGTGAGCTAGGATCACACCACTGCCCTCCAGCCCGGGCGACAGAATGCGACCCCGTCTCAAAAAAAAAAAAAAAAAAATGCAGCCCAAGCCTGGTGGCTCATGCCTGTAATCCCAACACTTTGGGAGGCCAAGGCAGGTGGATCACCTGAGGTCAGGGGTTCGAGACCAGCCTGGCGAACATAGTGAAACCCCGTCTCTACTAAAAATACAAAATTAGCTGGGTGTGGTGGTGGGTGCCTGTAATCCCAGCTACTTGGGAGGCTGAGGCAGGAGAATTGCTTGAACTCGGGAGGCAGAGGTTGTAGTGAGCTGAAATTGCATCACTGCACTCCAGCCTGGGTGACAGAGGGAGACTCAGAAAAAAAATTTTTTTTCACTGCATGTAAATTTTACCTTAATAAAAAATTAAAATTTGGCTGGGTGCAGTGGCTCACACCTGTAATCCCAGCACTTTGGGAGACTGAGGCGGGTGGTTCACCTGAGGTCAGGAGTTCGAAACCAGCCTGCCCAACATGGTGAAACTCTGTCTTCACTAAAAATACAAAAAAATTAGCCAGGCCTGGTGGTGGGCGCCTGTAATTCCAGCTACTGGGGAGGCTGAGGCAGGAAAATTGCTTGAACCCAGGAGGCAGAGATTGCAGTGAGCCGAGATTGCGTCACTGCACTTTAGCCCTGGTGACAAGAGCGATACTCCTTCTCAAAAAAAAAATATTAAAATTAATCTTTTAGAAAATAAAAGTGTGTTAGAGAGGTTGGCTAATCAAAATTTTTGTAGCCTTCAAGAAGAATAAACTTGAAGAATATCCATTGATTTGTAGAATTTTTACAAAGAATTAATAGAGGAAAACTCAAAAGCATTAGAAAGGGTCCTGTTCCTCTGTTCCCTCTGTGAGCCCAGCTTGCCTGAAGGGAACGTGGGTCTAATCCGTGTCTGGAGGAGTGAGCCAAACCGCAGGAGGAAGAGGTAAGAAAGACAAAGGAGAACCAGGGCCACACTCAAATCCATGCTCTTCAAAACTTTGTTTTACAGATTTGACAAAATATTTATACTTGAAGTTTTTAAGCGGTGGAACCTATAGACAGCCTTTCTTTCAGCTTATTTTTTTAATTTTTATTTTATTTTATTTTTTACCAAATGACCATCCTTGATATAAACACCAATGCCAGGGGGTGGAGGGTCTGCATCGCTGAGGAGAGCCCTGAGCACCAAGGACAATGGTCCACCCTTCGGCCAAGCAACCACCGCCTCCCAGGCTCCTGGGACACCCACTGGAGAGGGAGCCCAGTGTCTTCTAACAAAGGGAAACACCTATGAGGAAGAGGCCAAATTTAGAAACCAAGGAAAGGACAGCTTGGCTTGAGCTGATGGTGGCTCATGGGATTGTGGAGAGATTAAAAATAACACTTGTGCATGTGAAATAGCAGAAACAACAACAGAAGTATTCACGTGTTCAGTATAAACACCTGGGCAGGAATATAAAGAGCCCGGGCTCAGAGAACTCCACACCTGCACACCTCCCTCTCACCTGCTCCTCTACCTGCTCCACCCTCAACCCACCAGAACCATGGGCTGCTCTGGCTGCTCTGGAGGCTGTGGCTCCAGCTGTGGGGGCTGTGGCTCCAGCTGTGGGGGCTGTGGCTCCGGCTATGGGGGCTGTGGCTCCGGCTGCTGTGTACCTGTCTGCTGCTGCAAGCCCGTGTGCTGCTGTGTGCCAGCCTGTTCCTGCTCCAGCTGTGGCTCCTGTGGGGGCTCCAAGGGGGTCTGTGGCTCTTGTGGGGGCTGCAAGGGGGGCTGTGGCTCCTGTGGAGGCTCCAAGGGGGGCTGTGGCTCCAGCTGCTGTGTGCCCGTCTGCTGCTCCTCCAGCTGTGGCTCCTGTGGGGGTTCCAAGGGGGTCTGTGGATTTCGTGGGGGCTCCAAGGGGGGCTGCGGTTCTTGTGGCTGCTCCCAGTGCAGCTGCTATAAGCCCTGCTGCTGCTCCTCAGGCTGTGGGTCATCCTGCTGCCAGTCCAGCTGCTGCAAGCCCAGCTGCTCCCAGTCCAGCTGCTGTAAGCCCTGCTGTTCCCAGTCCAGCTGCTGTAAGCCCTGCTGCTGCTCCTCAGGCTGTGGGTCATCCTGCTGCCAGTCCAGCTGCTGCAAACCCTGCTGTTCCCAGTCCAGCTGCTGTAAGCCCTGCTGCTGCTCCTCAGGCTGTGGGTCATCCTGCTGCCAGTCCAGCTGCTGCAAGCCCTGCTCCTCCCAGTCCAGCTGCTGTGTCCCAATTTGCTGCCAGTGCAAGATCTGAGGCTCTGCCCACAAACCTCAGTGGGTCCTACAGATCCGGGCTCTCCAGGAATGATTGCAGCTGTGTCCTGAATTCCTGAAGCACGTCTCTGAATCTGTCCTCCTCTGGACTAAGGCAGCCTAGCGTCCAGGGCTCAGTACTCAGCCGCTCAGCCTCTGAGGTCATGAGGGCTTCTGGCATGCTGGGTCCTGCCCATCAACCCTCCCGGAATCCCGTCTTCCTTTCCTGACCCCACCACTTCAACCTTCTCAGGGCTTCAAGATCCCACATCCCTGGGCCCCTCCTGTGAGCCTGCTGGAAACACGCTGACACTGGAATCCTCCGACCTGCTGCCGCCTCTCCCCGGTCCCCGCAACCTCCTGGCTCCTCCCCGCTTCGTCTTCATCCTGCCTGAGCTGCCACCGCTCCGATTGCTTTTGGAGTTGACCTAGAGGACTCGGAATTATTGGAGACCCCAGGATCCTCTCCTGAGGAGGAGGGGCGCCCAGTCTCCTCTTCTACCTCCGACCTGGCCCTGTTTCTTTCCCCAGGGCTTCGCCTTGTAAGTGCCTAGGCTAGATCTTCTAAATAAATACGATCTGCACCTCCCACGAGTTTGCATTGTGATTCTTTTGTTTCAACTTCTGTGTGATTAGAGAAATGTACACTTTCCACAGAGTTGCACTCCCAGGCATTTGGGAACCCCCCGTACCCTGCTGTGTGAGTTTGCTAGGGCTGCTCCACAAACCGTGTGGCTTAAGCAACAGGAGTGGATTGTCTCACAGTCTGGAGTCCGGAATCCGCCATCGAGGTGCCTCAGGGCCGGGTCCTCCTGAGGCCTCCCTCCGTGGCTTACTGATGCCGCCATCCCTATATCCTCACGTACTCATCCCTCTGTGTGTGTCTGCGTCCTCATCTCTTTGCATAAGGACACAGATTAGACTAGGGCCCACCCTACTCCATTAGGTCCATGTTTGAACTAATCACCCCTGTAAAGACCTATCTTCAAATAAGGTGCCATTCTGAGATACTGCGTTGAGGACTCCAACATATGAACCAGGGGGCACAACTCAGCCGTGGCATCCACTTGGCTTGGGGCGTCTCCGTCTTTCCCATCTTCCAGGATACAGAATTGGGAGGCCCCTTGGGCTTCTCTCCCCCACAAGTCGCCAAATCCCTCAGCATCTCCTGGAAGGCTTCCTACAGACATCTATTTCCTGCCTCCTTGTGACACCTCCCTACACAGACTTCTGATTCAGGTGCCCACCTGTCCCTTCCCTGCTGCCTCTGTCAGCTGGGGCTGCCAGAACAAAACCCACAGAGTAAGCCTGGAAGACGGAACAACAGACACCATTTCTCCCAGTTCCGGAGGCTGGAGGGCCTAGACCAAAGTCCAGCATGTTCGACTCATGGGGAGGGAAGGCAGGAGCTGGCGGAGGAGGAGGTGGGCTGCAAGGCTGGAGCCCCCAGACCCAGGCGTCTGTAACAGCAGAGCGCTGGAGGCTGCTCGGGAAGCCACCGTCTCACAGGATGGTAGGCAGTGAGTGCCTGGCGGAACTGCGACAAGAAAGTGAAAACTCAACAACACGGAAGTTTCAGAAATTGCTTCTGAGTTTCTGTTTCGGTAGTAAGGTTGACTAGACACTATTCACAACCCTGAAACTTCTAAAAGGACATGGTGAAACCCCGTCTCCACTAAAAATACAAAAATTAGCCAGGCATGGTGGTGGGCGCCTGTATCCCAGCTACTTGGGAGGCTGACGAAAGAGAATTGCTTGAACCCAGGAGGCGGAGGTTGCAGCGAGCCTAGATCGCACCACTGCATTCCAGCCTGGGCGACAGAGCTAGACTCTTTCTCTAAATAAATAAATAAATAAATACATAAGTAAGTAAATAAATAAAGCTTTAAAGTGCTATGTTTAAAGCATATATATTTTTTTTAAGTCACTGAGCTGTTGAAAAACTAAATAATCCTCAGAGCCAACAAGCAAGAGAGAGCTGGACCCACAGAGGAAGGTGAAAGTCAAAAACGGCCTCCACCCCATGGCTGGACCAGAAAGAGGCCCTGTCTGTTTTCTTCCACCTGTGTTATTGGAAAAAAATATTTGACAAGGAAACATACACCAAACCCAGCTCTTTTGTTTAAAAGCCAATTGCAAAAACACAGAACGAGTGACCTGGTTTAATGGTGGCTAAGAACGATAGAAAAAGGGCCTGGTCTATCTGAGTTAAATTTGAGCTCAGGATGAGGCTAGGGTGTGGTGTTGCTGCCGAAATCCACTCTGTGGTCTGAGGGTGGATTCGTAGCCACACGGTGTCCAACTCAGGGGTGAATGAGCCCCTCCCCATCAGCCCATGCTAGTTCCTTTAATGGACTTTTTTTTCAGAGCAGTTTTAGGTTCACAGCAAAATTGAGAGGAGTGGGCCACAACATCCCCCGTGCTCTACAATGAGAGCACTTCCTCAGAGCCCAAGACAGTAGGCCACTCTCTGGGGGTCCCCAGGGGCTCAGGGTGTGGCTGGCCTGTCCCCAGCTCAGGAGAGACCAGGAGTTGTCTAACAGTTCCTTCATTGGAAGTCTCTGTGGATGCCTCCCACGGACCTGAATGTTGAGGGCCCATGATTTCTACAGTACATTGAGGAGCCGGGATGCAGGGCCCCTATTTCCTCTATGTGTGCCCTGGACACCCCAGGCACAGGGGACAGGCCTGGCCCTGCAACCCCACCAGGGTCCTGACACCAGGCTTGGCCTGGCCTTGTGATGAGCAAGAGAAGAGGCAGGTCCAGAGACACCTCCTGCACGGGATCGCCTGCTTCCGACCCCCATGACAGGCAGTGGCCAGCATGGTGTGGAAGGGGCCAGGATGGCACACGGCAGGCTGCCCTGTAGCCCCAGATGGCTCCTGGCCTCAGGAAATTAATATCCACTGGAAAACTCATCACTTGGAGGCTGCCAGAGGGAAGGGTGAGTGTCACGTTCCTGCAGCCATGGCCAGCCAGCAGCATGCCCTGTGGCCTCTGGCCCAACCTGTGGGACAGGGACCCCAGACAGGGCACAAGTCCCAGTCCCAGAGGGTCCTGGCCTGATGCTAACCCAAGCCCTGTCAAGGGAAGGGCATCAGGGGCGCCATGGGCACCCAGCAGCAGCCAGGAGGATCACACAGGGGACTGAGCCTTCTGTGGCAGTGGCCGGACCCAGAACTTAGCCAAAAGCAGGGCAAGCCTCCTGGATCAGAGCGGGTGCTGCTGCCTGTGCATGCCCAGCAAGGCTGAGCCAGTGATGCTACCAGGGTCCATGAGGCAAGGGTGGGGCAGGAGCAGGCTGACCAGCCGCCAACCTCGTCCACTCCAGGAGGCAGGGATGGCCAAGCTCCCACGCCCTCGTGGCCGCCACCTGACCACCGATGGGGCAGAGGCCTGAGGCCAAGCAGTCAGTGCTGGGGCCCTGCTTCCAAGGTCTACAAACTGCTCCAGTCCGGAGGGCCAAAGATAATTGGGCACGTGAGGGCCCAGGAGGTCAGTTCCCTACGTCTGCCATCCTTGGCAGGTGCATTTCATGGTCAGAAAAAGTCAAGAAAGGTGACACCTCTCAGGTGTTATTATGAAGGACTCTCCCAAGACACATCTTTTTTTACATTTATTTTTATTGTACATATTCATGGTGGACAACATGGTGCTGTGGTAAACATGTACACTACTGAAATGATGGCTGCAATTAATATCTCCAACACCTTCCATGGTTCCTTTTTGTATGTGTGTGTATAAGTGTGTGTGCATGGGTGTGTTTGGATAAGTGTGTGTATGAGTGTGTATGCATGTGTATGAGTGTGTGTGTTTGTATGATTATGTGTGTATGAGTGTGTGTAAGGTGTGTTTTTAATTGTGTGTGAGACTGTGTGTATGTATGTATGTGTATGAGGGTGAGTGTGTGTGTGTATGTGTGTGTATGAGGGTAAGTATGTGTGTACGATGTTAGTGTGTGTGTATGTGTGTGTGGTAGGAGCACCTGGAGTCTTCTCTCAGCACACCTGCCACACACAACACCTGACTGTCACCTGTAGTCCTTGCACTGTGCACTGGACTGCTCGGCTCCCTCTCCTACACAACCGCAAGCCCTTGACCTCCTCCTCCCCCTTTCCTTCTTCCTCCAGACCCTGGTAACTACTGTTCTATTCTATGTTTCTATGTATTTGACTTTTTCAAAATGTGGAATATATGCATACATCTATACGTGTATATATGGAATATTCTTCAGCTTTCAAAAGAAGGAGATCTGGTTACTTACAACAACATGTACAAATCTGGAGGACATTACACAGGGTGAAAAGAGGCAGACACAGAAAGACAGACATCACACGCTCTCCCTCACACATGGAGTCTACAGGAGTGAAACTCACAGAAGCACAGAGTGCAAGCATGGGAACCAGAGGCAGGGAAAGGGGAAATGAGGAGGTGCTGGCCCAGGGGTCCAAAGCTTCAGTTCTTCAAGATAAATAAGGCTTGGAGACCCAATGCATAGCAAAGTGACCACAGGTAACAACACGGTGTTTATTATGTACTTAAAACGTACTGAGAGGGTAGATCCTACATGTTCTCACCACCAAGAAAAGAGAGAGAGAGAGAGAGAGCTATGTGAAGTGGCAGATGTCTTAATTATCTTGACTGTGGTGATTATTTCACAATGTAGACATATATGAGATCATCGAATTGTATGTCTTAAATATACACAATTAAAAAACAATAAAAGCCACCCCCAGTGCCAGGCCCCACAGGCACCCCCACCCAACCCTCCTACTTGCACATACAATGTATAAAAAATAGATGCGCATACACAATTGGGTATTGCTACCAATTCGGATTTTATTATCCACATTTCTTTGCAACTTAATTCTTTTCACTAGAACTTGTATCATGGTTGCCTCTCCTAGGAAGTAGATCTGGGTATAAGTCTATGTTTCTTTACGCGCATGCGTATTCATATATGTGGAGTTTTTCCACAAGTAGGATCACACATACTGGACTCACTTTTCACTGTCATTTGCTTTTTGTTGATTCCTACACACCTTCCCCACTCCACCCAGCCACTGTCCTACGTACCCCAGGCACACACTCAACATATGTGTAAAAGATATTTTTATTGCTTGCTACTAAAATAGGATCCTACAGGGCTCATTTCTCTGCATCTACATTTCACACTAGCCAGAGCCTTGAGGAAATTTCTCCAAGTCCACTGGTACAGGTGTAATCTTATTTTTTAGTGGGTATGACTTTTAGTATTAATTTTCAATTTGCTAGGATTCTTTTTCTGACACTGTAAATAATAGATCATACACATATATGTATACACGAATATGTTTACGTTTAATCTTTTTTCAGTAATTTCAAGACTAATTGTATTGATATGACCTAATTTTATTAGATATTGTTTTCAAAAAAACTGTAATAAATTGTATCCCCAGAACAATGTATGAGTACCTTTTCCCCCAATTTCACTAGCAATAGGTGTTATTATTCTTGTTAATTTTGGTCAGTCTAGTAGATATAAAATGTTGCAGGTAGCCACTAACTGAGTCCACTAGCGTGGGCAGAAAAGGAATTTACCAAGACAGTTGTAGGTAAGGAAAGGCAGATTTATTAGAGAATGTAGGAAAATACGTTGCAAGAATGGAAAGGGCAGGTCAGCAAGGGAGGAGCTGGCTGCCAGGAGACAAAGGCTTGCTGGGGATTTTATAGGATGGTGCTTGTGCCGGAGAGGGTTACATGCAGTGCTGATAATGCCAAGGTTTCAGTGAGCTAATTTGCATTTTTCTATCAACTGAGGTCATAAGTTGAGTGCAGGAAGATTGTGAGTTATGTGAGTTATTTGCATAGGAGGGCTAAGTCCTGCACCAGGAAGAAAGGCAGACTTGTAGTTCATCTGCCTTCTCTTTTTGCTTTCCCTTGGTCCAACCAACCTGGCTCCTTTTCCATCATTAGGACTCCACAGAAAAGATCCCGTGTATCTGACTACCAGTGAGTCTGATTTACTTTTTATATTTTTAATTGCACACTTCCATTTGTTTATCAGAGAATCATCTTTTTAAAAACTTGGTTGTTTGTATTCTACTTGTCAATTTGTAAGAGCTACTAATGTTTTATAGATTTTTTTTTTGAGACAGGGTCTCGCTCGGTTGTTGGAGTGCAGTGGCACAATGTCAGCTTACTACAACCTCTGCCTCCTTGGTTCAAGCAATTCTTCCACCTCAGCCTCCCAAGTAGCTGTGATTACAGGCATGCACCACCGTGCCCAGCTAGTTTTTATATTTTTAGTAGAGATGAGGTTTCACCATGTTGGCCTGGCTGGTCTTGAACTCTTGGCCTCATGTGATCCACCTGCCTTGGGCTCCCAAATTGCTGGGATTATAGGCATGAGCCATCGTGCTCGGCCAGTGTTTTATAGATTATAGAACTAATAAATGAATCCAGCAAGTTTTCAGAATACAGGACCAATATATAAAAATCAATTGTATTTCTACTCACTTGCAACTCTGAAAGTGACAAAACACTGTTGAAAGAAACTAAAGAAGATCTAAAACATCCCAGATTTGTTGTGGACTGAATATTCATGTTCTTTCAAATTCATATGTTGAATCCATCACTCCCATTGTGGTTGTATATGGAGACGAGTTCTCCAAGGAAGAAATTAAGGTTACGTAAGGTCATAAGGGCTTCCACAGGATTTGCATCTTCATAAGAAGAGACACCAGGGAGCATTTGCCTCTGTCTCGCTCTCTCTTTCTCTCTCTCTCTCTCTCTCTCTCTTCCTCCCTCCAACTCTTTCTCTCTCCACACACAAAGGAAAGGCCATGTGAGCAAAGAGTGGGAAAGCGGCCATCTGCAACCAAAGGAGAGAGCCCTCACCAGAAACAAAAGTTGCTTGCACCCGATCTTGGACTTCTGAATTGTGAGAAAATAAATGCCTGTTGTTGGGCCACCAAATCCGTGGTATTTTGTTATGGCAGCCCAAAAGCAGACTGATGTTCATGTATCAGGAGACTTAACATTTTTCAGATGGCAATACCCCCAAAATTGATCTACAGAGTCTATGCAATCTCTATCAGGAAAGCAGCTGGCTTCTTTGTAGAAATTCACAGGCTGATTTTAAAGTTCATGTGGAATCTCAAGGGACCCGGAATAGCTAAAACAAGGTTAAAAAGAAGAACAATGTTGGAGGGCTCACACTTGCCAATTTGAAAACTTACTACAAAGCTGCAGTCATCAGGGCAGTTTAGCACTGTTGTTAGAATAAATGTATAAACCAGTGGAATAGAATTGAGAGCCAGAAATAAACCCTCATGTAGATGACCAACTGATTTTTGACAGGGTGCCAGATCATTCAATGGAGGAAGAGCAGTACTTCAACAAATGATGCTGGGAAACTAGACATCCACATGCACAGGAATGAGCTGGACCCCTACTTCACACCACATACACTAATTAATTTAAAATGGGTCAAAAGGCCTACATTTAAGAGTCAAATCTATAAAACTATTAAAAGAAAACATGACCTTGGATTCGGTGTGGATTCATAGATAGGACACCAAAAGCACCAGCAACAAAAGAGAAATACAAATACATTGGATGCCATCAAAAGTTAAATATTTTTGCACCAAAGGACGCTATCAACAAAGTGAAAGAACAGTCTACATAATAAAGGAAGAAAAGATTTACAAATCAGATATCTGATAAGCATCTAGTATCTAGAGTATATAAAGAACTTTTTCTTCAACTTTTATTTTAGAATCAGGCAGTACATGTGCAGGTTTTTCACATGGGTATATTGTGTGATGCTGAGGTTTGGAGTATGAATGAATCCATCACCAAAATAGTGACTGTGGTACCCAGTAGTTTTTCAGTCCTTGCCCCCTTGCTCTCTCCTCTTGTTCCCCAGTATTCAGCCTTTGCCCCCTCCCTCCCTTCCTCCCTCCTCTTGTTCCCCAGTGTCTATGGTTTTCATCTTTATGTCCATGTGGACTCAAAGTTTAGCTCTCACTTATAAGTGAGAATATGTGGTATTTGGTTTTCTGCTTCTGCATTAGTTCCCTTAGGATAACGGCCTCCAGCTTCATCCATACTGCTGCAAAAGATATGACTTCGTTCTTTTTTGCAGCTGTGTAGTATTCCATGGTGTATATGTACCACATTTTCTTTATCCAATCCACCATTGATGGGCACCTGGGTTGATTCCACATCTTTGCTTTTGTGAATAGCACTGCAATTAACATATGGATGCATGTGTCTTTTTGGTAGATTGATTTATTTTCCTTTGGGTATATACCCAATCATGAGATTGCTGGGTCAAATAGTAGTTCAATTCTTAGCTCTTTGAGAAATCTCCAAACTGCTCTCCGTGGTGGCTGAATTCATTTACATTCCCACCGACAGTGTACAAGTGTTCCCTTCTCTCTCAAGCTTTGCCAGCATCTGATTTTAGGTTTTTTTGTTTTGTTTTGTTTTTTACTTTTTATCAAAAGCCATTCTGACTGATATGAGATGGTATCTCGTGGTGGTTTCGATTTACATTCCCCGAATAGTTAGTGATGTGGAGCATTTTTTCATATAGTTGTTGGCCAGTGTTGAAGGAGGGGCCTGCAGGGAGGTGTCTGGGTCATGGGGGTGGATCCCTCATGAGTGACTTAGTGCCACCCCCTTGGCGATGAGTGTGTTCACTCAGATCTGGTTGTTCACAAGTGTGTGGCTCCTCCTCACCCCTTGCTCCCACTCTCACCATGTGGTGTGCCTGTTCCTGCTTCGCCTTCCACCGTGAGGAAAACTCCCTGAGGGCCTCCCCAGAAGCTGAGCAGAGGTGGGTGCCATGCTTGTGCAGCCTGCAGAACCATGAGCCATTCTAACCTCTTTCCTTTATAAATTACCCAGCCTCAAGTATTTCTTTAGAGCAATGCAAAGAATGGTCTAACACACCCGGAAAGCTGAGACTGGCATGAGTATAAAGATCGTGGATAATTTTGAAATCTAAAAATGTAAAATTAATATTATTGAGGGAGTCAACACAGGAAAGATGAGAGCACGTGGGCAGAGGCTGTTGCCCATTGGTCACATGTGGTCAGCAGAGAGCAGGTGACCAGCACCCTGGAGCTTTGCAGGAAGAACCAGACAGCCTGGAGCTGAGGTTTTAATTGTAGGGGCCAAAACAAATGGGGAAAAAGACAAATTTAGAAAACAAAGAAAGTAGATGCTCAACTGAGCCAGAAGGAAGTCACTAGCAAAGAGGAAAAAAATAGAGCTCTGGAAAAATAGTGTAAACAGTCACAAGAAAGGGACCCTGTGTCATGCCTGACATCTGGACAGGTATATAAAGAGCCCAGGCTCAGGGAGCTCCACACCTGCACCTCCCTCTCACCTGCTCCTCTACCTGCTCCACCCTCAATCCACCAGAACCATGGGCTGCTGTGGCTGCTCCAGAGGCTGTGGCTCCGGCTGTGGGGGCTGTGGCTCCAGCTGTGGGGGTTGTGGCTCTGGCTGTGGGGGCTGTGGCTCCGGCCGTGGGGGCTGTGGCTCTGGCTGTGGGGGCTGCAGCTCCAGCTGTGGGGGATGTGGCTCCAGATGTTATGTGCCTGTCTGCTGCTGCAAGCCCGTGTGCTCCTGGGTGCCAGCCTGTTCCTGCACCAGCTGTGGCTCCTGTGGGGGCTCCAAGGGGGGCTGTGGCTCCTGTGGGGGCTCCAAGGGGGGCTGTGGCTCCTGTGGGGGTTCCAAGGGGGGCTGTGGTTCTTGTGGCTGCTCCCAGTCCAGCTGTTGTAAGCCCTGTTGCTGCTCCTCAGGCTGTGGATCATCCTGCTGCCAGTCCAGCTGCTGCAAGCCCTGCTGCTGCCAGTCCAGCTGCTGTGTCCCCGTGTGCTGCCAGTCCAGCTGCTGCAAGCCCTGTTGCTGCCAGTCCAACTGTTGTGTCCCTGTGTGCTGCCAGTGTAAGATCTGAGGCTCTGGACCCAGACCTTCAGGTTTCTCCTGTTTGGTGAAAGCATTTCTTATGGTTCCCTGAGTCAGTTCGTCCCACACATCCTCCCTGAGGCACCTGCACCTGCTCTAGCTCACCATCCATGCACACACCTCCTTCCATGGCTCAGCTCTCCTCTGGGCCCTGCCTTCAGCCTCCTCACTCCAGAAACGTGTGTTTCCCTGATGCGGGAGGTGTCCTCGCCTGGACGCAGGCACCCAGCCGACTGCCACGATGTTCCCTGCACTTGGGTGTGGACCATCTTCTTCTTCTCCCTGGGCTGACTGAGATGCAAGGTCTGACCCCACAAGGCCAGGCCGACGTTTCTGAGTGATCACTAAGAACCAGCTTCTCAACCACCATCAGGACCCTGGATCCTCCTGGGCCGCTGCCTGTTCTCCTGTGGCCCAAGTGTGACCAGGAAGGTCTCTTTCCTTCCTGTTGTCTCCATCTGTTTAAAAAAAAATAACAAAATAATGAATGAATTTCCTTGCAATAAAGCCTCTCATGTCTGTAAATCAACTGTATACTTGGTGCAATTCTGTCCAACCCCTTTCCTGTGCGGTGACCGATTCTGTGTTCTGATCTGTCAGCTAAGCTGGGAAACGCCTGCCAGCAGGCCTGGTACATTCACAAAAAAGCCTGCCATTCCCTTCTGTCCTCCTCTCGGCCTCAAATATCTTCACAGTCTCTGCTTGCAGGAGAAGAGGGCTCAGCCCGGGGAGGATTCGGCATTCAATGCCCGCCCTAGAGGCGCAGAGGGGCAGGCGGGCCCTGAGTCCTGACGACCAGCCAAGCAGGGCCTTGCACAAGACCCATGGCTTCCAGCTTCCCGCTCTCCTCTGGGGCCTCGGAAGGACCCCAGGCAGGGCAAGGTCGGAGGAGGGAGGAGTGAAGCACCGCTGAGCTCCAGCGCGGTCTGATTCAAACACTCAATTAGCCTTTTACAATCATGAGGTCAACGGCTTTCCATAACTAAAGGTAACCAGGAAGTTACAGAATGGCCCAAGGTGTCCTCGGAGCTCAGTCTCCCGGCAGGAAAGGGGAGTTCCTGGGAAATGACACATTTGGGGACCCTGAGCCAAGTCCATCTGTTTCATGGTGACGTGCCACCACGCTGAGCCTGTTCTCTGACCAGTGTCACAGGCAAGGCTTTAGAAATCACGCACTGGGGAGGAGGGGACGAGAGTGATCTGAGGATGATCTCCAGACAAGCGAACCTGGAGGGAAAAGGTGGAGGGAAGAGAGCACACAGGGAGCGCTGGTGAGAAATGAGCTCCCACAGAACACCCACAGATCTAAGCGACTGCTGATAATGCCAGGGAAGAGCAGAGTGGGAATTTCCAGGACAAATTTCTGAGAGAAAAGAGATGCAATGTAAGGAAAAATGAAATAATCTAGAAATAAAGGCTTAGATTAATTCAGCCACTTTTAGGAGAGGGAATAAAAGTGTGTCAAAGGTGCATCTTGCTAGGGGACATGGCTATCGTTAGTTTCACGACGTTAAAAGGAAATGCTGCTTAAGACAGTTTACTCAAAAATCCAAACTGGGAAACTCCAGAAGGTGGCAGCAGACATGAACGCAGAGTTCATTACATTTGGGCCCTGTACATTCCCACAGCCCACAGGACACCGAGCAACTCGGTAACAAAACCAAAAATGCATGCTGGAGACTTATAACAAAACCAGGTAAGCCAGGCATGGTAGCGCAAACCTGCAGCCCCAGCTACTTGGGAGACTGAGGCAGGAGGATGGCTTGAGCCTAGGAGTCTGAGGCTGCAGTGAGCTGTGATCGCACCACTGAACTCCAGCCTGGGCAATATAAAGTGAGATGGTGTCTTAAGAAAAAGCAGGTGAACCTAAAAGTACAAGAAGGTGGGGATAAATTTCCAAGAGCCACAGTCCCCCAGGGTTTCAGTGTCTGTGCAGGAGAAAGCGAAGAAACATCTAACAGAGACGAAAACAGGGGAACCTCAAAAGAGCCAACAGGTGTGTGCTGGAAAAGCGCAGCATGAATTTTGGATTTGGCTCCTGAAATGGGGAAGGTTTTCCTCCCTCTAGTGGTGAGTGGGTGCAAGGGCCCTCGGTAAGTCCCTAGAGGCAATGGAAGAAAGCTAGGAAGCCTGCCGTGAAACAGATCACAGTGGTAGCCTACTGTTTCCAAAGGAGCTAATGAACAATGAAAGGAAATGATACCAGACATAAATAAGGCCGGGCGCGGTGGCTCACACCTGTAATCCCAGCACTTTGGGAGGTGAGGCAGGAGGATCACTTGAGGCCAGGAGTTCAAAACCAGCCTGGGCAACATAGTGAGACCCCCACCTCTACAAAACATTTTAAAAACTAAGTGGGTATGGTGGTGTGTGTCTTTAATCCCAGCTGCTAGGGAAGTTGAGGCGGGAGGATTGCTTGAGCCTAGGAGGTTGAGGCTGCAGTGAGCTATGATCCTGCCACTGCACTCCAGCCTGGGCAACAGAGTGAAACCCCATCTCAAAAAAAGAGACATAAATGAACAACAAAAGTCATAAATAGAAGAATTGCTAAATGAGGGGACATCACTTAAGAGAAAATTAGAGTTAAAAGAAATCACTCTAGAAATAAAGTCTAAAGTGGGACAAACGTATGAGTAAAAAAGTACAATAAATTTTAAAAACCAAAAAGAAATGAAGAACTAAAAAGGATTCAAGAGACAATGACAAAAATTGAAAAGAAGCAAAGAAGATCCAAGACTCCTAACCAAAGTCATGTATGACAGTCAAACAATTACATAAAAAACTAGAATAAAAAAGCACTAATCAAAAAGAACAGAAGAGAAAAAGAAATATAGATCAGGTGATGCAATAGAAAATTCAGACTAAGAACATAGGTTTTAAACCCAAATATTTCAGTAATTATTTCACAAGTAAATGGACAAAATGCTCTAGTTTACATATAAAGATTGCTAGACAAGTTTTCTTAAAAAATGTATAACTAGATGTAAAGTCAAAAGTTGCATCTAAAACATAAGGATTCAAAAATGTAAAAAAAAAAAAAGAAGGGGGGGTAGAAAAAGACATAACATGCAAAGCAAGCTATACTAATAGTAGGCAAAATAAAAACAAAGGCCTGGCTGGGTGCAGTGGCTCACACCTGTAATCCCAGCACTTTGGGAGTCTGAGGCGCACAGATCACCTGAGGTCGGAAGTTTGAGACCAGCCTGACCAACGTGGTGAAACCCAATCTCTACTAAAACTAACAAAAAAAATAGCTGGGCATGGTGGGGCACGCCTGTAATCCCAGCTACTCAGGAGGCTGAGGGAGAAGAATCGCTTGAACCCAGGAGGCAGAGGTTGCAGTGAGCCAAGATCACGCCACTGCACTCCAGCCTGGGCAACCAGAGTGAGACTCCATCTCAAAAAATATATATATACATATATATATATATGCATGCATCATATATGTGCTGAGAATTTTATAGATCACAATCCTCAGCTAATGAATCCTATATAGACATTGTTTTTATTTAACTTTTTTCTCCTTCATTATCCCAAGTCCCATCATCCTCTCCACCCATAGGCATCCATCCTTGCAGGTATCTTTCCAATTCATCTTCCATAAGTTATTTACAAACATTTGCATATAATCATGACAAATATGTAGCATTTTTCAATGTGTATGTATTTGGTTTTGGTTTTGTTTTTGAGACAGGTCTTGCTCTGTCACCCAAGCTGGAGATAGAGTGCAACGGTGCAATCTCAGCTCACTGCAACCTCCACATCCCGGGCTCAAACGATCCTCCTGCCTCAGCCTCCCAAGTAGCTGGGACTACAGTCGCACCTCCACACCTGGCTAATTTTTGTATTTTTTGTAGAGATAGGGTTTCACCACGTTGCCCAGGCTGGTCTCGAACTCCTGGACTCAAGTAATCCACCTGCCTGGCCCTCCCAAAGTGCTGGGATTACAGACGTGAGCCACTGTGTCCAGCCTTGTGTATGTTATTTAAATTCATGATGGTTATAAATTCTGTTCTGTTTCTTGCGTTTTAAGCAAATCTGGTGCTTTTGGCATGTATTGCTACATGAAAATACAATGCATTATTTCTGGCCACTGAAGTGTGTTCCACTAGATTCCTGCCCCCCATTTCCCACATCCATCACCCTTTTTTGAGCTCTTTGCTGCCATATAATCCACCATGATGAATATCCTCATTGCTCAGCATAACACCCAGGAGTGGTGAACCTAGTGAATGAGTTTTCAATGATCAATGAGTGGGATGCTGAAATGGGGAGCCTGGGAGAACAGATTTCTTTTCCTTTTTTTTTTGAGATACAGTCTCATTCTGTCGCCCAGGTTGGAGTGCAGTGGCACGATCTCAGCTCACTGCAAGCTCTGCCTCCTGAGTTCACGCCATTCTCCTGCCTCAGCCTCCTGAGTAGCTGGGACTACAGGCACCCGCCACCACGCCCGGATAATTTTTTGTATTTTTAGTAGAGATGGGTTTTCACTGTGTTAACCAGGATGGTCTCCATCTCCTGACCTTGTGATCTGCCCACCTTGGCCTCCCAAAGTGCTGGAATTACAGGCGTGAGCCACTACACCCGGCCCCAGATTTCTTGAGAAGTATCTGTTTTGGAAGGAAGGCGACTGAGGTGTTGATCAGTGCCATATCTACATCTTCTTCATCAATATGGAATGATGCTTTCATGATCTAAAAAGGCAATAGCCATAGAATGAATGTGCTTCCCAGAATCAAAAGGCCATACCAAAAAAAAAAAATGCAGTTTATAACAACCAAAAATATTGCTCCTCCTCAAGGCTGTGTACAGAGCTAGTATATTTGTGTGATGGATGGATCCCATTACACTGTATGTGCTTGAAAGGCAGAAGTCACGTAACGACTCCCGCTGTATGCTGCAGGTAAGCACATAGCTGCTCACGCCTCTCACTAAATACCACGCGCTAAATGTAACATATCAGTAAGACTGCAGGTGTTTCCATTCTCTTCAAAAACCAGGGGCGTTTTGTTTTCATTGCTTAACTCTGATTAAAAATAAGGTTGAAGGTCTTTTCGCGTCCTCACTAGCCATCTGTGGGTGGTCTATTCCTATGCTTTGCCCACTTCTCCACTAGGTCTCCTGCCCTCTTCTGTTGATTTTCAGGGTTCCTGTCTAGACATTAGCTTCTAGGGGTTATAAATATGGCAAATGGCAAATATCTTCTCCCAGTTGATCAATCTTCTTTTTTTTTGAGACGGAGTTTCACCTTGCTGCCCAGGCGGGAGTGCAATGGTGCAATCTCGGCTCACTGCAACCTCCACCTCCCAGGTTTAAGCAATTCTCCTGCCTCAGCATCCCGAGTAGCTGGGATTACAGGCATGCACTACCACACCTGGCTAATTTTGTATTTTTAGTATAGATGGGGTTTTACCACGTTGGTCAGGCTGGTCTCGAACGCCTGACATCAGGTGATCTGCCCACCTCGGCCTCCCAAAGTGCTGGGATTACAGGGGTGACCCACCACACTTGGCCCCAATCATCTTTTAATGGTTTTTTTGTGGGGTGATATCCAGACATATATCAGTAATTTTGATGTGGTTAAATACAGCATTTTCCTAATTACTGTTTATGTTCTGGGGATCATATTTAAGAATTCATTTCCTGACCCCAAGATAATAAACACAATCTCCTATATTATCTTCCACTCTTTTTATATTTTCCTTTCACTTTTACATATCCTTTTAGGTCTTCAATCCATGTGGATTATAGAGGGTGTGAGGTAGGCATCTAATTTTAATTCTCTGCATAGAGTGAGCCATCTTCCCCATTCAATTTGTTAAAGATTAAAGCTCCTCTGGCTGGGCACGGTGGCTCACGCCTGTAATCCCAGCACTTTGGGAGGCTGAGGCAGGTGGACCACCTGAGGTCAGGAGTTCGAGACCAGCTTGACCAACACGGAGACACCCCGTCTCTACTAAAATACAAAATTAGCCAGTGTGGTGGTGCATGCCTGTAATCCCAGCTACTCGGGAGGCTAAAGCAGGAGAATTGCTTGTACCCGGGAGGTGGAGGTTGTGGTGAGCCAAGATCGTGCCATTGCACTCCAGCCTGGGCAATAAGAGTGAAACTCTATCTCAAAAAAAAAAAAAAAAAAAATTAAAGCTCTGCAATAGATGGGTCTTTTCTGGGTTCCTGTTCTGTACTTCTAACTATTTATCCATTCATGTGCTAGTAGCAAACTGTTTTAACAACGAAGACTTTATTATGCCTTAATATCAGGCAGAGACTACCCCTTCTGAATATTATTCAGGAGTGTCTCAGTTATTCACAAGTTTGCACATAAATTTTAGATCTATGGAATAATTTTCAGAATTAAATCCTTCTGGAATTTTAATTGAATAAAATCCATTGAATGTATGAATATAAGAAACTGAACTTTTTATAATGTTAAGACTTTCCACCCATGAACATGATATATTTCTCCACTTATGACGGTCTTCTTTTATTTATTTATTTTTTTGAGATGGAGTCTCACTCTGTTGCCCAAGTTGGAGTGTAGTGGCAAGATCTCAGCTCACTGCAACCTCCGCTCCTGGGTTCAAGCCATTCTCCTGCCTCAGCCTCCCAAGTAGCTGGGATTACAGGCATGCACCACCACACCCAGCTAATTTTTGTATTTTTAGTAGAGACAGAGTTTCATCATGTTGGCCAGGCTGGTCTTGAACTCCTGGCCTCAGGTGATCCACCCACCTTAGCCACCCAAAGTGCAGGGATTACAGGTGTGAGCCACCACGCCTGGCCAGATTGTGGACTTTTAAATAGACAAACTGTATATGCACATTTATCTCAATAAAACGGTTTTCTTTTTTTAAAAAAGACACATGGGGGCCAGGCGCAGTGGTTCACGCCTGTAATCCCAGCACTTTGGGCAGCCAAGGCAGGCGGATCATGAGGTCAGGAGTTTGAGACCAGCCTGGCCAGCATGGTGAAACCCCTTCTCTACTAAAAATACAAAAAATAAAATAAAATAAAATAGCTGGGCATGGTGACAGGCGCCTGTAATCCCAGCTACTTGGGAGGTTGAGGTAGAAGAATCACTTGACTCCGGGAGTTGGAGGTTGCAGTGAACCAAGATCTTGCCACTGCACTCCAGCCTAGGCAACAGAACAGGGCTCTGTCTTAAAAAAAAAAAAAAAAAAAAAGACATATGGGGACATGTAGTAGATTTGACATTTGTCCAACTAGAGATGAGAGAGACTCGGGAGAGGTGAGACAGGGAGAGTCTCCCAAGGTTGAAACTGGAACCCTCGGTCCAGGAAGGACATGGCATGAAGCAGGTGGGAGAACCAAATGTGCAAGCCAGCTTCCACAGCAGACATGGAAGGCCAGGGACTCCAGCCTGCACAGCAGACACAGAAGGCCAGGCAGCTCCAGCTTCCACAGTAGACACGGAAGACCAGGACTCCAGCTTTCACAGCGGACACAGAAGGCCAGAGACTCCAGCTTCCACAGCAGACTCAGAAGGCTGGGGACTCCAGCGGAGGGGCAGAGAAAGTGACAGCAGCAACAGACGAAACAGCCGCCAGTGACACCTTTCAAGCACTGAGGAATTTTGTGCCAACCAAAGCATTATTCAAAAGTGAGGGCAGGCCAGGCATAGTGGCTCACGTCTGTAATCCCAGCACTTTGGGAGGCCAAGGTGGGAGGGTTGCTTGAGCCAAGGAACTCTAGACCAGCTTGGGCAACTTAGAGAGACCCCATCTCTACACAGAAATTAAAATTAGCTGAGTGTGATGGTGTGCCTTTGTCATCCCAGCTGCTGGGGAGGCTGAGGAGAAAGGATGGCTTGAGCCCAGGAGCAGGAAACAAGCCACCTCCATGTGAAAATGCAGGCTGTCTACTGATGAATGCTCGGGAGGAGCAGGAAACAAGCCACCTCCATGTGAAAATGCAGGCTGTCTACTGATGAATGCTCGGGAGGAGCAGGAAACAAGCCACCTCCATGTGAAAATGCAGGCTGTCTACTGATGAATGCTCGGGAGGAGCAGGAAACAAGCCACCTCCATGTGAAAATGCAGGCTGTCTACTGATGAATGCTCGGGAGGAGCAGGAAACAAGCCACCTCCATGTGAAAATGCAGGCTGTCTACTGATGAATGCTCAGGAGGAGCAGGAAACAAGCCACCTCCATGTAAAAATGCAGACTGTCTACTGATGAATGCTTGTGAGGGAACTTCCGGAGGATGTTTTCAGGAAGAAGGAAGCTGAGCCCGGAAGGAAGAAGTATGGTGTAAGCAAGAACCACGCCTAGAGTTGTTGGTGGATGTGTGGCAAGTTTAAGCAAATACTGACTATAAATAAACAATGATGAGCAATGTGAGAGGAGCTAAGACGCTGGAGAAACTCCCACAGCTGACACCGGAGGGGCTGGGCAGGGGAAGAAGCTGTCCCCAGCTCCCTGCACAACTCTCAGCAGGGGAGGAATAGAGGGCCATCACGTGTAGACAACATTTGTTTAAAAATACACATGAAATGCATAAGGTTGCTGCTAAAAACAGGAATAGTGTATATAACTTCTAAGTCAGTCAAAGCAAAACAAAATAAAAACAAAAACAGAACCTTAAAAACTCCATCTAAAAGAAGAGGGGAAGGAAGCACTACCACAGGATGGTGAAATGCAAAGGGTGGTGGGAAGCAGCCCACGTATGTCAGAAATCACAGCAAACCCCACAGGCTTAGCTCATCGGGTAAAGAACAGAGACCCCAAAATATGGGAGCTTTTAAAGCAGCCCCACAGTAGTTACCTCACCCAGAAGCTTGCAGAAAGGCTGAAAGAAGCTGAATGAAAATGACTGCAGAAAAGGGAGGGAGGGAGGGAGGGAAGGAAGGAGGGACAGATAGAAAGCCCAGATGGCAGTGACTCTCTATCGCACGCCTCCTGGCCTGACAGTCCACGTCCAGCAGACAGTCACGCACCCCAGCACCCGCATGTTTAGAAAGTGCAAAAAGAACAATGGAGAAAATAAAGATATGAGCAGAACTAAATAAAAATGTTTAACACATACAACAAACAGAATCAACAAAATCAAAAGCTGGTCTTTCAAAAGACAAAGAAAATCAACAATATTTAGCAAAACCAATGAGGAAAAAAAGGGTCGGGCAGGAGAAAGAGCATGTATAACCTGAAGCAGGGATGAAAAACGGCAAATAGGCTGGGCACGGTGGCTCACGCCTGTAATCCCAGCACCGTGGGAGGCCAAGGCAGGTGGATCACCTGAAGCCAGGAGTTCGAGACCAGGCTGGCCAACATGGCAAAACCCTATCTCTACTAAAAATACAAAAATTAGCCAGGCATGATAGCAGGTGCCTATAATCCCAGCTACTCGGGAGGCTAAGGCAGGAGAATTACTTGAACCCGGGAGGCAGAGGTTGTGGTGAGCCGAGATCACACCACTGTACTCCAGCCTGGGTGACAGAGTGAGACCCTGCCATAAAAAAAAAAGAAAGAAAAGAAAGCAAATAATGACAAATTTAGCAGCTATTAAAAATAACAGGCTACTAAGCCAGGCGTGGTGGCACACGGTAGGGATTTGTAGTAGTCAAATGTGGTAGTCTGTAGTAGTCCCAGCTACTTCAGAGGCTGAGGACCACTTGAGGCCAGGCGTGAGTTCGAGACTGCAGTGAGCTATGATGGTGCCTGTGAACGGCCACTGCACCCCAGCCTGGACAACATAGCAAGATCCCATCTTCAAAAACAGAGGCAACTATGAAAAGTACATCCCAATAAATTTGAAAAACTTAGAATAAATGACATCTATGTTAAGAAGAAACACAGGAGGATGAGGCAGGAGAATTGCTTGAACTCGGAGGCAGAGGTTGCAGTGAGCCGAGATCACACCACTGCACTCCAGCCTGCGCAACAGAGCGAGACTCTGTCTCAAAAAAAAAAAAAAAAAAAAGAAGAAGAAGAAGAAGAAGAAACAAAAGGCTGGGCGCTGTGGCTCTCGCCTGTAATCCCAGCACTTTGGGAGGCTGAGGCAGGTGGATCATGAGGTCAGGAGACCAGCCTGGCCAACACGGTGAAACCCTGTCTCTACTAAAAATACAAAAATTAGCTGGGTGTGGTGGCACGTGCCTGTAATCCCAGGGGAGACTGAAGCAGGAGAATTGCTCAAACCAGGGAGTCAGAGGCTGCAGTGAGCCGAGACCATGCCACTGCACTCCAGCCTGGCAACAGAGCAAGACTCCATCTCAAAATAAAAGAATCCAGAAAATTCAAAGAACTTCAGACACCAATAAAAATAATAATGATCTTGGCCAGGTGTGGTGGCTCACACCTGTAATCCCAGCACTCTGGGAGGCCGAGGTGGGTGGATCACTTGAGGTCAGGAGTTCAAGACCAGCCTGACCAACATGGTGAAACCTTGACTCTACTAAAAATACAAAAATTAGCCAGGTGTGGTAGCACATGCCCGTAATCCCAGATACTCGGGAGGCTGAGGCAGGAGAATTGCTCGAGCATGGAAAGCGGAGGTTGCAGTGAGCCGAAATCGCACCATTGCGCTACAGCCTGGGAGACAGAGCAAGACTCTCCATCTCAAAAATTAATAATAATAACTATCTCAATTTTGTAAAGTGGGCCAAGGACGTGAAATTAACGAGACTCTAATGACAGGTGACCATATGGAAAGAGGCACAGCATGGCTAGTAACCAGGAAGAGGGAATATTAAACCACAGTGTGTAACACTGTGTTACACACCCACATGAAGGGTGTAAGTTGACAGTTGCAAGTTTTGGTGGGGGTGCCAGGAAACAGGAGCTCTCTGGCAATGCTGGTTGGACAGCAGCTGGCTGGGGGGATCCCTTGGGAAGACAGCTTGGTAACAAGAACCTCCTGACTTTCAGGCACCCACACCTGCAGGAGGGGTTTTGGGCAAGAAAGTTGCAGCTTGCTTGAAATAGCAACAAAAAGGAAACAAAAGGTCCATCAACAAGTAAATGGATAAGTCAATGTATATTTAGAAATCAGAGAAAACAAATAAATTAAAACCATATGTATCCCTAGAGAAAATCTCTTTAGCCTAACACCTATTTTTTTCAAAAGCAATTTACAGAAAGAGAAATACAGTGTAATACCCATTACATAAAGTTTTCAGCATGTAAAATTTTTTTTTCTTTTTTCTTTTCTTTTTTTTTTTTTTTTTTTGAGATAGAGTCTCACTCTGTTGCCCAGGCTGGAGTGCAATGGCGTGATTTCAGCTCACTGCAACCACTGCCTCCCAGGTTCAAGCGATTCTCCTGCCTCAGCCTCCCGAATAGCTGGGATTACAGGCACATGCCACCATACCTGGTTAATTTTTGTATTTTTAGTAAAGACGAGGTTTCACCATGTTAGTGAGGCTGGTCTCAAACTCCTGGACTCAAATGATCCGCCCACCTCAGCCTCCCAAAGTGCTGAAATTACAGGTGTGAGCCACCGCGCCTGGCCACAAAACATTTTTAAAGGAACATACATATTAAGTAGGAGTGTGAGGACCTTCATGAGAGTGGTGAATTCCAAATTCAAGAAATTATTAGGGTGGGACAGAAACAATATGGAGAGATGGAGGAACAGAGACTTCATTTATTTATGCCATTTTTTCCCAAGTTGAGTAGGGTTTTTTTTTACATTTTTTAAATATATTACTCTTTATACCATCGTTCAACTAAAATAGATCACTTTTTTTTTTTTTTTGAGACAGAGTCCCGCTCTGTTGCCCACACTAGAGTGCAGTGGTGTGATCTCTGCTCACTGCAACCTTCACCTCTGGGTTCAAGCCATTCTCCTGCCTCAGCCTCCCAAGTAGCTGGAGTTACAAGCATGCACCACCATGCCTGGCTAATTTTTGTATTTTTAGTAGAGATGGGGTTTTGCCATGTTGGGCAGGCTGGTCTCCAACTCCTGACCTCAAATGATCCACCTGCCTCGGCCTCCCAAAGTGCTGGGATTACAGATGTGAGCCACCACACCCAGTTAATTTTTGTGTTTTTAGTAGACACGAGATTTCACCATTTTGGCCAGGCTGGTCTCCAACCCCTCACCTCAAGTGATCCACCTGCCTAGGCCTCCCAAAGTGCTGAGATTACAGGTGTGAGCCACCATGCCCAGCCTAAAATAGATGCTTTTGTAAATCCAGTGTGACTCTGGAGTCAACAGGGAGAGGCTAGACCCTTGGGGGCCTCCATTAAGTCTGGACACAGATTCAGCAAGAGAGCAGCAGCCCACTGAGCAGCCCATACACCAAGGGGCGGATTTCTAGAGGAAACAAGAAAAAGGGGCCCTAAAAATGGCACAAACAGGAACCAGGAAATGTGTGCCCAGCCTCACACATGACCCTGGGCAGGGATATAAAGGGTCCAGGCTCAGGGAGCTCCACACCTGCACCTCCCTCTCACCTGCTCCTCTACCTGCTCCACCCTCAATCCACCAGAACCATGGGCTGTTGCGGCTGCTCCGGAGGCTGTGGCTCCAGCTGTGGGGGCTGTGGCTCCGGCTGTGGGGGCTGTGGCTCCGGCTGTGGGGGCTGTGGCTCTGGCTGTGGAGGTTCTGGCTCCAGCTGCTGTGTGCCCGTCTGCTGCTGCAAGCCCGTGTGCTGCCGTGTGCCAACCTGTTCCTGCTCCAGCTGTGGCAAAGGGGGCTGTGGCTCTTCTGGGGGCTCCAAGGGGGGCTGTGGCTCCTGTGGAGGCTGCAAGGGGGGCTGTGGCTCTTGTGGGGGATCCAAGGGGGGTTGTGGCTCCTGTGGGGGCTCCAAGGGGGGCTGTGGCTCTTGTGGGGGATCCAAGGGTGGCTGTGGTTCCGGCTGTGGGGGATGTGGCTCCAGCTGCTGTGTGCCTGTCTGCTGCTGCAAGCCCATGTGCTGCTGTGTGCCAGCTTGTTCCTGCTCCAGCTGTGGCAAAGGGGGCTGTGGCTCCTGTGGGTGCTCCAAGGGGGCCTGTGGTTCTTGTGGGGGCTCCAAGGGGGGCTGTGGCTCCTGTGGAGGCTGCAAGGGGGGCTGCGGTTCTTGTGGGGGATCCAAGGGGGGTTGTGGCTCCGGCTGTGGGGGCTGTGGCTCCGGCTGCGGTGTGCCCGTGTGTTGCTGTTCCTGTTCCAGTTGTGGCTCTTGCGCGGGGTCTAAGGGAGGCTGCGGGTCATCCTGCTCCCAGTGCAGTTGCTGTAAGCCCTGCTGCTGTTCCTCAGGCTGTGGGTCATCCTGTTGCCAATCCAGCTGCTGCAAGCCCTGCTGCTCCCAGTCCAGTTGCTGTGTCCCCGTGTGCTGCCAGTGCAAGATCTGATTTCTGGCTTTGCAGGACTCTTACCATGGCCAGGCATTCCTGCCCAGCCTTTACCTCCTTTTCCTGGCACCCAGTGAGCCAGACTCTCCTTCCCCACCCACTACCCTATCTCCCACCCTCCTGCCTTGCCAAGCATGAACACTTCTCTTTGACCTTCTACCAAGAAATGCCATGGGCCCATGCATCCAAGAAGAATGACTTTCAAGGCCTCCCTTCCAGGCATCTGGAGACCAGCCCCCCACCGCCCCAGCCACCTGCAGCAAATGCCTATCCGCAAGCCCTGCCTGCTGGCACCACATCCAGCACGGACAGCCCTGCAGGACAGCCCAGGGTGCTTGCTCACTCTGCAGTCACTAGGAGTTCAGATCTCTGTCCTTTAAACATCCAATAAACCGCTCACCCCAGCACCCCATAGCTGTCTTGGTATATTTATGTTTATTTCCCTCTCGAGGCAGGTGGGGGGCATCTGTGGCTACACTGGGTCCCCTGGGAACCACACACACACACACACACACACACACACACACACACACCGGCCCTGAACCAAACCGGAGCAGGCAGGTGGGCGCCCTGGCCAGCAGGGATCCTGGATACATGGTGGCGGTCAGAGGCAGGAGCACCAGCAGCCACCTGGCTCAGCCCCTTGCCGTGCAGCCTCTACCACACCCTCTCAGCATCTGGCTCAGGGCGGGGGTGCCTTGCCTTGATCAGGCAAAAGCAATCACTAGGGGGTCATCATGGCCTGTTACCACGCGGTCTTATTCTCTTTGGGCTGATGTAACAGAACACCATGGACTGGCATGTACAACAGAAGTGTATTTCTCAGGGTTCTGGAAGCTGGCAGTCTGAATTAAAGATGCCGGCGGCCAGGTGCGGTGGCTCATGCCTGTAATCCCAGCACTTTGGGAGGCCGAGGGGGGCGGATCACCAGGTCAGGAGATTGAGACCATCCTGGCTAACACGGTGAAACCCCCCTCTCTACTAAAAATACAAAAATTTAGCCGGGCATGGTGGCAGGCGCCTGTAGTCCCAGCTACTCAGGAGACTGAGGCAGGAGAATGGTGTGAACCCGGGAGGCGGAGGCTGCAGTGAGCCGAGATCGCGCCACTGCACTCCAGCCTGGGCTACAGAGCAAGATTCCGTCTCAAAAAAAACAAAAAACAAACAAAAAAAGCCAGAAGAATGCAAATATGACATTCCAGAGGGGATGTATATGGAAGGTCAGCAATCCCATTGCAGCAACCAGAGAAGGCCACATTAATTACAGAACTCAGATGGTAAAATAAATAAATAAATAAATAAATAAATAAATAAATAAATAACTTCAGGAAATCCTACCGTATGTATCTTACCACAATTTTTTTTTTCTGAGATGGAGTCTCACTCTGTTGCCCAGGCTGGAGTGCAGTAGTGTGATCTCCACTCACTGCAACCTCTGCCTCCTGGGTTCAAGCTATTCTCCTGCCTCAGCCTCCTGAGTTTCTGGGACTACAGGCATGAGCCACCATGCCCAGCTAATTTTGTTTTGTTTGTATTTTTAGTAGAGATGGGGTTTCACCATGTTGGCCAGGCTGGTCTCAAACTCCTGACCTCAAGTGATCTACCTGCCTCACCCTCCCAAAGTGCTGGGATTATAGGCGTCAGCCACTGCATCCGGCCCACAATTTTGAAATACCGGAAAAATGTATCTATAAAAAAGACATTGGAGAACTGTAGAAGCAACAAGAACCAGATGAAAACATTCAGAGAGAGCCCTTCCAAGATGAGCTGAATGTCGGCTTCTCTCCCTTTAAGGAATTAACCAGTGCTGGGTATGAGCTGAGCCTCGGTCCCACTGGGGAAGAGGAATTCTACTGGGAGAAATACCCAGCAGGGCTCTTGGCAACCACAGGGGCTGGAGCAGAAAACTGGGACATTTGCAAATTTCTGGGGAGGCTAAGAAGTGAGGCCTGAGGCCTCCGCAGGTGCGCTGAAGTCTCGCATAGCCTTGTGGAGCTTAGTACACAGAGCTTTTCTAGAGGAAGGGGTCCTGCCCCAGGCACAGGTTAATCTGGCCCTTAAGACATTTTCCAAATTTTGAAGCTGCCTGAGCAGACAACTAAAGAGCTAAGCCTGTACCTCAGGGAAAGAAGTGACTCTCTGACAGCCTGTCAGGGATAAGAAGACACGGACTGGCCAGGCTCTTAACCAAAACTCCAGGAAAGCCACACAGAGGGACGATTGACTGAAGTGGCCCAATCCCTAACTGAGCGGGTAGACGAAATGTTCAGCTCCTCTCCCTGTCTGCACTAGAGAGGGAGGCCACGTGCTCACTGTTGGAAGAGAGCAGCTAGACCCCCACAGTCCTTAGATGGAGACCCCCACGGTCCCGAGATATAGACCTCCACGGTCCTTAGATACAGACCCCCATGGTCCTGAGATATGGAGCCCCACGGTCCTGAGATATAGACCCCCACGGTCCCGAGATACAGACCGCCACAGTCCTTAGATATAGACTCCCACAGTCCCTAGATATAGACCCCCACGGTCCCTAGACACAGATCCCTACGGTCCCTAGATACAGACCCCCACGGTCCTGAGATACAGAACCCCACGGTCCCGACATATGGTCCTTAGATATGGACCCCCACGGTCCCGAGATATAGACCCCCCACGGTCCCGACATATGGACCCCCATGGTCCCTAGATATGGACGCCACGGTCCTTAGATATAGACTCCCACAGTCCCTAGATATAGACTCCCACGGTCCCGAGATACAGACCCCCACGGTCCTGAGATACAGATCCCCACGGTCCTGAGATATGGACCCCCACGGTCCCTAGATATAGACCCCACGGTCCTTAGATATAGACTCCCACAGTCCCTAGATACAGATCCGCACGGTCCCTAGATACAGATCCCCACGGTCCCTAGATACAGACCCCCACGGTCCTGAGATACAGAACCCCACGGTCCTTAGATATAGACCCCCACGGTCCTGACATATAGACCCCCCATGGTCCCAAGATATGGACCCCCACAGTCCTTAGATATGGACCCCCACGGTCCCGAGATATAGACACCCCCACGGTCCCGACATATGGACCCCCCACGGTCCCTAGATATGGACCCCCACGGTCCCTAGATATGGACCCCCACGGTCCTGAGATACAGAACCCCACGGTCCTTAGATATAGACCCCCACGGTCCTGACATATAGACCCCCCATGGTCCCAAGATATGGACCCCCACGGTCCTTAGATATGGACCCCCACGGTCCCGAGATATAGACACCCCCACGGTCCCGACATATGGACCCCCCACGGTCCCTAGATATGGACCCCCACGGTCCTTTGAGGCATACCTCTGACAGAAAGCACGAGATACAGGACACAGCAGGAAACAGTGATCAATAATCATGCGGAAAGCTAACAGAAGAAGCAGATTACAGATAAGCCACATATTGGAGTTAGGAAACAAGGGCTTTAAAATAACTATGATTGGGCCAGGCACAGTGGCTCACGCTTGTAATCCCAGTGCTTTGGGAGGCCGAGGAGGGCGGATCACCTGAGGTCAGGAGTTCGAGACCAGACTGGCCAACATGGTGAAACCCCATCTCTACTAAAAATATAAAAAGTAGCCAAGGGCCAGGCACGGTGGCTCACGCCTGTAATCCCAGCACTTTGCGAGGCCGAGGTGAGTGTATCACAAGGTCAGGAGTTCAAGACCAGACTGGCCGACATGATGAAACCCTGTCTGTACTAAAAATATAAAAAGTAGCCAAGGGCTGGGCACAGTGGCTCACGCCTGTAATCTCAGCACTTTGGGAGGCCGAGGCAGGCAGATCACAGGTCAGGAAATCGAGACCAGCCTGGCCAACATGGTAAAATCCTGTCTCAACTAAAAATACAAAATATTAGCCGGGTGTAGTGGCATGCGCCTGTAGTCCCAGCTACTCAGGAGGGTGAAGCAGGAGAATCGCTTGAACCCGGGATGTGGAGGTTGCAGTGCGCCGAGATCGCACCACTGCACTCCAGCCTGGGCAACAAGAGCAAGACTCTATCTCAAAAAAAAAACAAAAAAAAAAGTAGCTGGGCATGGTGGTGGGCACCTGTAATCCCAGCTACTTCGGAGGCTGAGACAAGAGAATTGCTTGAACCTGGGAGGCAGAGGTTGTAGTGAGCCAAGATTGCACCATTGCACTCCAGCCTGGGCAACAGAGCAAGACTCCGTCTCTAAATAAATAAATAAAACAATATTCAATGTCCTATAAAATTTTTAAACTTTGTGGAAGTAAAATATATGACAACAGCACAGAAGTCAGGAGAGGGATAAACAGAATTAAATAGTTGTAAGGTTCTTGCCTTGTTTATGAAGACACGAGATTATTAACTGATAATATGTTATCATAATCTCTGGATGGGTGCAGAAGCTCACGCCTGTAGTCCCAGCACTTCGGGAAGCCAAGGCAGATGGATTGCTCAAGACCAGGAATTCAAAACCAGCCTGGGCAACATGGCAAAACTCCATCTCTACCAAAAATACACAAATTAGCCGGGTGTGTTGGCAGGTGCCTATAGTCCTAGCTACTCAGGAGGCTGAGGTGGGAGAATCACCTGAGCCTGGGAGGTCAAGTCTGCAGTGAGCCATGATTATGCCACTGCACTCCAGCTTGGATAACAGAGTGAGACCCCATCTCAAAAAAATAAATAAATAAATATAACCATCTCTAAGGTAGCCATTAAAGGATAATGAATACATAACCCGGAAGCTAACAGAAGACAGAAATTAGGCCAGGTACGGTGGCTCATGCCTGTAATCCCAGCTCTTTGGGAGGCCAAGGCAGGCTGATCACTTGAGGTCAGGAGTTTGAGACCAGCCTGGCCAACATGGTGAAACCTCGTCTCTACTAAAAGTACAAAAAATTAGCCAGGTGTGGTGGCCCGTGCCTATAATTCCAGCTACTTGGGAGGCTGAGGCACAAGAATCGCTTGAATCTGGGAGGCAGAGGCTGCAGTGACTCGAGATTGCACCATTGCACTCCAGCCTGGGTGACGGAGTGAGACTCTGTCTCAAAAAAAAAAGGAAAGAAAAAAAAACAGAGAGAAGTTAAATAAGATGCATGTTGTTTAGAAAAAACAAACCCTAAATATCAAGATCCAGGAAGATAGAAAGCAAAAGAATAAAAAAAAAGATATATTAGGCAAACATTAATGTTTTCAAAAACCTAGTATAATGATAGTAAGATCAGACAATGTGGACTTTGAAACAAAACCATTATTAGAAGAGATAACATTTCATGATGATAGGAGAGTTCATGCAACCAAACAGAAAACAATCCTAAACTTCTATGTGCCAAATAACTGAGCTTTAAAACATATAAAGCAAACATTGACAAAACTAAAATAAGAAATAGATAAATCCACAAATACAATTGGGACTATAATTGGGAATGTATAGGAATAATTGGGAATTTTAATGAACCTCTCTCTCACTCCACACAATGTGCCAGCTTCCCCAAACCCTCAGACACTCTGGCCTGCCCAGCAGCTGCCAAGAGGGGCCAGTAACACCACCTGAAGATGCAGGGAACTTAATTCCTCGGGAGAGCAACTCTGACCTATGAGAGCAGAAGACAGGAAGGAGCTTGCAGAGAAACTATTCTCCCTTCCTCCTCCCTGTGGACCATTCTGAGGTGGAGCATCGCTGTATGGTCTCGTGGGAGAGGGTGTGCAGACGTGGCCAGCTGAGCTGCAACTTCCAAAAAGCCACAGCAGCTGAGTAAGAAGCAGCCTTGCCTCAGCTTCACCTCCTCCCTGGCTCGGTGTGTTCCTCCCTTCCAGAAAATGTGTACACTGAGCTTTGCATCTGGCTACTTTCTGGGGAATGGAAGCTAAGACTCCCACCATCACCATGTCCACTTAGCATTATAATGGTGATGCCAGCCCATGCAATATGACAAGAAACAAGCAATGTGAGGTTTGGAAAGAAACGAAAGTGCAGATTCATAGATGATAGGGCCATCTACCTGGGAAATCCAAGTGAACCTACAGGCGGCCTGCTTGGAGGAGTAAGAGAAGTCAGAGAGGGTGATCGACAGCCAGCCCATGACAGGCAACAACACATCAGAAATTGTGGTTTTTATAACCTTTCACAAAGCAACCGAAATCATAAGCTCAGGAGTAATATACGCAATGGGAAGACTGTAAGGCCTCCCTGGGGAAGATTATAAGGCAATATAGAAGGACGTCTTCAAACTAAATATGGAGTCTGTGTGAGAAGACACTCCAGTGTCCTCCTAGTCAACCCATCAAGTAATGCAGCTATAATCAAAATGCATAAAATCCCAAGTGTTGGCAAGGGTTTTATTTTATTTTATTTTGAGACAGAGTTTTGCCCTTGTTGCCCAAGCTAGAGTGCAATGGCACAATCACAGCTCACCGCAACCTCCACCTCCCGGGTTCAAGGGATTCTCCTGCTTCAGCCTCCTAAGCAGCTGGGATTACAGGTGCCCACCACCACACCCGGCTAATTTTTGTATTTTTTAGTAGAGATGGGGTTTCACCATGTTGGCCACGCTGGTCTCAAGCTCCTGACCTCAGGTGATCCGCCCACCTCAACCTCCCAAAGTGCTGGGATTACAGGTGTTAGCCACCATGCCCAGCCCTGGCAAGGGTTTTAAATGGAGTTCTTCTAGCCTGCTGGCAAGTTATTAGAATTCTCCACTCAGGGCAACTTTGCAATATCTGGGGACATGGGAGTTGGGGGCAGGGGGCGCTGTGGCTCACGCCTGTCATCCCAGCACTTTGGGAGACCGAGGCGGGCAGATCACCTGAGGTCAGGAGTTCGAGACCAGCCTGGCCAACATGGTGAAACCCTGTCTCTACTAAAACTACAAAAATTAGCAGGGCATGATGGCAGGCGCCTGTAATCCCAGCTACTCAGGAGGCTGAGGCAGGAGAATCGCTTGAACCCAGGAGGTGGAGGTTGCAGTGAGCTGAGATCGCACCAGTGTACTCCAGCCTGGGCAACAGAGCGAGATGCCATCCAAAAAAAAAAAAAAAAAAACTAGGAAAGAAAATAATCCTGTAATCCCAGCATTTTGGAAGGCTGAAGGCCAAGAGAGGAGGATTGCTTGAGCCCAGGAATTTGCGACCAGCCTCGGTAACATAGTGAGACTTCATCTCTACAAAAAAAATTTTTTTTTTCTGAGATGGAGTTTCATTCCGTTGCCCAGGCTGGAGTACAGTGCCACGATCTTGGCTCACTGCAAGCTCCGCATCCTGGGTTCAAGCGATTCTGGTGTCTCAGCCTCCCGAGTAGCTAGGATTACAGGCACGCACCACCACACCTGGCCAAAAAAAATTTTTTTAATTAGCTGGAGATGCTGGCACATGCCTGTAGTGCCAGCTACTCAGGAGGCTGTGATGGGAGGATCCCTTGAGCTCAGGAGGTTGAGACTGCTGTGAGCTATATTTCCACCAGTGCCCTCTGGCCTGGGTGACAGAGTGAGATCCTGTCAAGAAAGAAAAGGAAGACAGGAAGGACAGAAGGACAGAAGGAAGGAATGAAGGAAATGGAGAAAGAGAGAGAGGGAAGAAAGAAAAATAATCTGAGAAGTGTGTTACAAACATGTAAGAGTTGGGTGTGGTGGCACGTGCCTATAATCTCAGCTACGGGAAGCCTGAAGCAGGAGGATCACTTGGGCCCAGGAAGAGTTCAGTCCAGCCTGGATAAAATAGAGGGATCCCATATCTCTTTTTTTAAGCATATACAATAGGATGCTGTCTGCTGCAGTTTTTTTGTTTGTTTTCTTTTTTGTTTTTTGTTTGAGATGGAGTCTCGCTCTGTCACCCAGGCTGGAGTGCAGTGGTGCGATCTCGGCTCACTGCAAGTTCCGCCTCCCGGGTTCAAGCAATTCTCCTGCCTCAGCTTCCCAAGTAGCTGGGACTACAGGCGCCCGCCACCACGCCCAGCTAATTTTTTGGATTTTTAGTAGAGACAGAGTTTCATCACATTAGCCAGGATGGTCACGATCTCCTGACCTCATGATCCACCCGCCTCGGCCTCCCAAAGTGCTGGGATTACAGGCATGAGCCACCGTGCCCGGCCTGCTGCAGTTTTTTATAGCCCAAATATGAAAATAATCTAATATGTAAAAAATAAAGAATTGGTTCCACTCTTGCCATACACCCATGAAATACAGAACCACACAGACGTTATCATCAGGTTGTGGGAAAGCAGCAATGTGGACGAATCTCAAAAGTATTTCCTTAAGGCCAAGCAAGGTGGTTCACGCCTGTAATCCCAGCACTTTGGGAGGCCAAGGTGGGCAGATCACCTGAGGTCAGGAGTTCGAGACGAGCCTGGCCAACGTGGTGAAACCCAATCTCTACTAAAAAATACAAAATTTAGATGGGCGTGGTGGCGGGCGCCTGTAATCCCAGCTACTCAGGAGGCTGAGGCTGGCGAATCGCTTGAAACCGGGAGTCGGAGGTTGCAGCGAGCTGAGATCGCGCCACTCCACTCCAACCTGGGGGAACAAAGAGACTCTGTCTGGAAAAAAAAAAAAGTATTTCCTTGAGTGAAAGATGCCAGGGGCAAAAGTCCTCTCATTGTTTGTTTCCATTGTTTCCATTTTTATAAAGTGTACGAACAGATAGCAGTAACTCACGGTGACAGGTCAGAGGGTGAGGACAGGGCACCAGGGAACTTCTGGGATAATAAAGTTTCTAGGTCTCATTTTGATGGTGATAAAACTACATATACAGTTGTCAAAACCCATCTACTGGCTGGGTGCAGTGGCTCACGCCTGTAATCCCAGCACTTTGGGAGGCCAAGACGGGAGGATCACCTGAGGTCAGGAGTTCGAGACCATCCTGGCCAACATGGTGAAACCCCATCTCTACTAAACACACAAAATTAGCTGGGCATGGTAGTGGCCGCCTGTAATCCCAGCTACTTGGGAGGCTGAGGCAGGAGAATCGCTTGAACCCAGGAGATGGAGGTTGCAGTGAGCTGAGATCGTACCACTCCACTCCAGCCTGGGCGACAAGAATGAGACTCCGTCAAAAAAAAAAAAAAATCTACTTGAATAATGGGTGCCAAGGGCTGGGGAGGGGGTTGGGAAGTTGGTGTCTAATGAGGACAGAGTAGAGTTCCAGTTTTCCAAGACGAAAAGCTCCAGAGATGGGTGGTGGTGACGGTTACACAGAAAGTGAATGTACTTAATGCTGCCAAATTCACTTAAAAATAGTTAATATGGCACACCGTATGTTCCTGCATGCATTTTACCACAAGAAAAAATCATACGGTTTTTAAAGAAATAACGGGAGAAAAAGTCTACTTGAACAGCTGGGATGGGCATTGTATTGAGTTAGCTATGCCTTGACTTAAAAAAGTTGGGGAAATAGTGGCATGGAGGTTTGCTACACATAATTAGTTGCAACGATTATATGCACATTAGCGAGAAAAGTGAACCCCACTGTTCCTTCTGCGCAATAGGGATGCTTTAAGAAACGACCTTGGACGTCCTCCCGGAGGCGAGAGGAGCTTCAGGCGGCCGAGCCTGCGCCACGGCCTGCGGACGGCAGAGGGCGCGCGCGAACCGCCGGGCCGGCCCCGCTCGGACCCCCACCTGCACGGCCCGGAGCGCGCGTCCCCGCCCCAGGCTGCTGGACCCCCGCACGTCCCTCGCCGCGGCCTTGGCGCCTCCCCGGCCCCTCGCAAGGTCCTCCCGAGCCCCAGAGACCCCCGAGGCGGCGTCTACAGGCCCGGGCCGGGACTGACACCGCAGCCCCCTCCCTGGTCGCGCCTCCCACCCCCGTCCACACCTGTGCCGGGAGGCGGTGCGGCCGCCGAGCTGAGCTGAGCCGAGCCGACCTGGTCGGGCACCCAGGCCCCTGAGCCCACCGCCCAGGCCGGCCTCTGCTGGGTGCAAAGGCAACGTGGAACTAAGGCGGGGCTGCAGAAAAACCACCGTCCTCCCCAGGGTGCCACCTCCCTAGTCCGCCAGCCTGGTTAGGGGCAGAACCTAACGCTCTCAGTGCTTATTTGCATGAAAATGGCTACGGGGATTATAACAATCGCCGCCCAGGGCACTCTGCCCCCCAGGGACAGCCCAGGCCCTCCAGGGGAGCCGTATTCCCCTCCAAACCGCCCCCTGGGAGCCTCCAGGAGGGACTAAAGGTCGCTGCCTGCCACCTGCTCCAGCCTGGCCAGTAGCTGCCCAGGGTATAACCAGAGCTCTTAGGGGACAATGGGCACTCCCAGGCCACAGGCAGATGCTGGCCACATCCCAGCTGGGCAGAAGACACGCCCATCGGGCTCACCTAGGCCTGGCAGGGGGAACAAGCCAGGTGAGGCTTCCCCCCAGGCGACAGCCCCTCTATCTAACGGCTAACAGCTCCCATGCCTGCGGGTCCCAGGTCCTTTCAGGCCTGTGACTGCCTCCTCAAGGACCTCCTTCGCCCCCTCCGGGTCTCAGCCTGAATCCTCCTGCCCCCTCCCAGGGCCAAGCCTCCCCCACTTTTCAAACCCAGCAAGGCTGCAGCAGGCAGCCCTACTCACCTGGCCCCGCATCCGGGTCCGGCACCTCCAGTCTCAGGGTCCCCCTCCAGCCAGGGCCTCCCTTCTCGCAGGGCCCTCCCGCTTTGGGGCGCAGCCCCAACCCCAATAACCCCTGGGCTCCCTTCCGGGACAGACCCACTCCCGCCAAGGCGTTTGTTTGTGCTGTGTGCCAGCTCTGCGCCAGGACGCACTCCACCGCCACCCCCACCCCATACGGGCCACTGCCGCTCCCCTCAGGCTGGCCAGGGAAGGGAGCTGCAAGCGCTTATTAATCGCCAACGGTGTACTCAGCTCTGAGGCTGGCAGGAAGACTGAGTATGGAAAGGGGGAGCCCCAAACCCCGCTCAGCATCCCCTGCTGCCCACAGTACTCCCCACCCCCAGCCATCACCATTGGCACCCTGAGCTCCGTGGTCCTGGTGCCCACTGAGGGTTCTGCGGTCGTTGCGCCAGCTTCATTTTCTGTGGCCCTTCATTCAACCAGCGGCCGAAGCCCCCTTCAGAGCCCCAGGGTGACCCTGGGGGGCCCAGGCTGGCTGGGGGCTCGGGGGCAGAAGGCGGATCCCCCCACGCTCCCTCTCCACCCGGCAGCGGGGAGGGGGCCTTTTAGAAATGTCTAGGGTGTCTCGTGACAACCCCCCCCCGCCAAAAAATCATTACTTTCAAAGGCTCCCAGGCTCCTGGGCAGGGGTCTTTGTCCCCTTCCTCCAGGACAGCGAGGCCTCCCCCGCCCTCCCCCTGCAGCGCGAGTCTGACCCCCTTGCTCCCGCCCAACACCTGCCGAAGGTGCAATTACCCGTGCGTTCTTCCTGCCCCGGACTCGCCGCGTCCCCGCCGCACGCGCGGAGGTGTTCCCACAGCGGTCGGCGGGGTGCGGCCCCTCAACAGCCCGCACAGGGGTCGTCGGGGCGGCTTTCCACGGAAGCGGGAGGGCTGGGGGTCGTGGGGGGTCGGCGGCGTCCTGGGGAGCCCGCCCCCGGAGTTCGCGGATGTGTGACCCGAGGCAGCCGGCTCGCCTCTGAGGGTCCCAGGTCCGCCCGAGTGCAGGGGGATCCGGCTCCGTCCTGCGGGGGTCGCGGCGGGGCGAGCACAGCCGCTGCAGGTAAAACGCCGCGCCTGGGTCTGGGGAGGGCTCCCCGGCGGCGGCCCAGCGCCAACAAAGGCCAGGAGAAGGGGGGAGCGGCGCCGGCGCCTGTCCGGGTCGGGGGGAGGACTTCGCGCCCGGAGCCGCTCAGCTGGACCGTCCGGGGTCTGTGCGACGCGGCCGGGGGCCCGGGTGACGGGGGGCCTGGGTGACGCGGGGCCCGGGGCCGGGAGGGCTTCCTGGAGGCGGGGTCCCGGACGCCGCGTGGTCCCTTTAAGAGCCGGTCCCGGGGTGAGGGCGGAAGGCGGCGGCGGCGCGACCCACCCGCACCCTGCACCCCGCCCCCCCCCCGCGGCAGCCGCCTCAGCTTCACCCCGAGCCCGGGCTCCGCTGACGTCACCTGCCCCCGAGCCGCGCGCGCTGATTGGCTGCAGGTGACGTCAGGGGCTTTTTTCGCTCGGCATGACCTCATCCCCGCCGGCGGCCCCGCCCTCCGCCCCGGGCCTGTCACTCGCGGCCGAGCGCGGCGGCCGAGCCGGCTCCCCCCACGACGCCCCGCCGGACGCCGGACGCCCGAGCCCGAGCCCGAGCCCGAGCCCGAGCCGCGCCGGAACCTCCCGGCCGCGCCCGCCGAGCCGCGGGGCTGGGATGCGCGCCGCGAGCGCGCGTGCCCGCCCGCAGTGCGCGCGCCCCGGCCCGAGCGAGCGCTCCCCGCGGCGTTGGCGGCGGCGACGGCGGCGACGGCGACGCGGCCCGCGCGCTCCCCCGGCCCCTGCCCCGGCTGCGCGGGCCCCCGCCGGGCCCATGGACGGCGCGGCCGAGCGGGCGCCCTGAGCGCGGCGCGGGTCCCCGGAGCGCCCCCGAGGCGAGCGCGAGCGAGGTGAGCGGAGGCGCCGGCGGGGCGGGGGCGGGCGCCGGGGATGGGGTTCACCGGCCCGGGCCGGGGGGCGGAGGGCGCCGCGTCGGGGGCGCTGGGGCAGCGGCACCCGGTGGGCGCCCGGGAGGAGGAGGCGGCCCCGGAATGAGCGGCCACGGCCGTCCAGGACGCCAGGGACAGGGAGGCCCCTTCCCCGCCCCCCGCAACGCCCGGCGGACCCGGGCCCAGCCCACGCCCGCCCGCCGCGTTGCCGCCCTTCTCCCCGCAGCTCCTTCTTTGGGTGTGGAATGGGGGGGGGACAAAAATCCAGGACCCACCAGGGCCGCCTGAGATCCAGCGCGGATCTGCGCGAGCCCCCGACGTCCCGAACGTCACCCCCGCGGGGGCCAGAACCGGAGCAGGCGGACCCTGGCCCGGAGTCGGTCCGGGAGGTGTGGAGCCTCGGCCGTGGGAGGGACGCGACGGCCTCTGGCCTGGGACACCCGGGAAGGGGCCTTCCCCTGTCGGGGGGGAGGGCTGCAGATCCATCCCCCCAGTGTCCAGGCCGCACTGCCTCCCCATCCCGGGGTGCCCAGCCGGCCCCTGAGGGATAAAGCCCCCGCGCCCTTCCGCCTGCTGCAGAGGCAGCCGCGGCGCTGGGGGAGGGGCTGGCACAGCCAGGCTGCTGCAGCCACCTCGCTAGGCCCAGCTGCCCAGCCTGGGATGCGGAGCAGACCAGGTGGGGATACCTAATAGTCTGGCCTGGAGGGGAGGGGGCAACAATAGGCCCAGCCCCAACAGGGTCACCCCTTCTGGGAGAATCTGCCTCCGTCTCCCTGCTGCGGGGTGTACCGGCCTCTGCTGAGGGGAATAGGGGCTCTGGTGCTGCAGTGATGGGGGGCGGGGACACTGTGGGATGGAGGAGGGGGTGGCAGGATGTAGCGTGGCTCCGCAGTGCTCTTGCTGTGCAGCTTGGGGTGGGGGTGGGGTGCTGCAGGCCAGGGAAGCTCCTTTTGTGCCCCAGCGGGGGGTCTGAGGGGAGATCCAAACCCCGGCACTCTCCCTTGCCTCCCTTCTGGCACAGCCCACCCAGAGACACTGTTGCACCTAGGGCGGTCCAGGGGTGAATGTAGCACCCCAGGCCCCAGCCCTCCACCAGGAGGACAGTCCCATGCATTCACTGCTAATAAGCACTGGATGCGGATGGCAGATCATGTGACCCCAGCTGGAAGTTCATCCTGAAGTCTCGCTGAAATACCTCCTGCTGCAGCCAGCCGGGGGCTGCACGAGTGTGGCTGGGCAGGTTCTATTCCCCTGGTATCCTCTGTCCTCGGGGAGGCTTCTGGGAATAAAGTCCCATTAACAGAGGTGCAGAAAGACGCTTAGAGTCAGTCTCTGCTCCAGGACCCTTCTCTTCTCAGGCTGGGGCTGAAGTCAGGGCCTAGAGGCTGCCACTGGACAGGTGCCTCGAAGGGGCATCAGCTAGGGCCTGGGGAGACCTAGGTGTCACTTCTTGCAGAAGGCAGGGAAAGGGGCAGACCCACAGTGAGAGAGAGGTGGTTGGACTCTGGCCATGAGAACTGCACCCGCTGAGGCCCCCTCTGCCGGAGTTGCTCAGGGCAGTGAACCTTGGAAGCGCCACACTGGTCCTGATGTTTAGCATGTGGCACAGTGACCAGGAGGAGGGACACAGGTCTGGTGGGAAGGGAGGGAACCTGGATATGTCCGGCTCTGAGACTCGACTGTCACGGCCCCTTGTGCCAAGTCCTCCCATCCCCTGCCCTGCCCGGACCCCGTTCCTGGGATCGGAGGGAGCCCCCCGCCCCACCCCACTTTCTCCCAGGTCCACAGCTTCCCCAGGCCAGCGGAGCAGAGTGTAGGCCAGCTTGGGTCCTACAGCACTAGCCAAGGGAGCTGAGGGGAGGCAGGGATGAGGGCATCTGGGGGAGCCCAGTGAGGGAAGATGAGCTGACCTGTGTGAGTGCAGGGTCCCTGCCTCCCAGAGTTGCCACCCACCAGTCTCTCCTCAGCCTCCTTAGTGTGACGATTTCTGCCTCCAGAAGCATCCCTGGGTAACAGTGAGCCGGACAGCTCCAAGAGCCTGCCTAGGTGTGAGGGGGAGACACAGTCCCATCCCCCCATGCTTGACAGTCCTGGCAGCTGTCTCTGAAGGTAGTGAGTCCCCATTTCTAGGTGCTGAGCAGAAGGTAACATGGTAAGGATGCTGTCAGTTGAGAGCTGGGGGTGGCCTGGGACTCCCTGGTCCCGTCTGTGCTCAGGGACAGGAATGTGCTGCACAGAGACGCTGGGTGTGGGAGCTCGTGTTTGTAAGGAGTCTGAAGCTGACCCCTCGGGTACTGGAGTCCTGGGGTTCTCAGGGGATCCTGCATACAGAGGGCAAGGACGTGCGTGTACTCTAGTGTATGTCCAGCCCACGCGTGTGCACATATTCACGCGTGGGTACTTGCACACAGGGCAGGTGGATTGTGGGTAAGGAGCACCAGCCCTGTGTGTGGAGTGGGTGTGCAAAGAGGTGTGTTCTGGCACGCACAGAGGGCAGTGTGCACGCAGCACTGGAGCCAGGCGTGCTGTGTCCCAGGGGAGGGTGGCGGCCTGGTGCCTCCTGGAAGGTGTGGGCCTGGGAGGAGCCTTCTTCTGACTTTGGACTTGGAAACTGCTTCCTCCTGGGCTCAAAGACTTTTGAAAAGGGTGTATGGGGCTGTGCTAGGGGGCATCCTGTCCCCAGCCCTGCCTCTCACCCCCCAACCCCTAGGCACTGGAATAGCAGGGCCACAGGTACTCAGGAGGGCTTGGCATGTGGGGCCGTGAAAGGAGAGGCATGGAACCAACACCATCCACATTTCCTTACCTCTGTTCCCACATGGCCAGTGCTGGCCCCACTGATCTGCACCAGACTGTCCTTAGTGTCTCTGCTCCCCACCCCACCCAACCTGCCCCATCCCTGGCATAGCTGAGCCCCGATCCTTAGCATCTGGGGAGACAGAGGTGAGGAACATGTCCCCCTGGGAGCTGTAGGTCCAGGGAGACCCTGTGGGTGAGGATGCTCTCCCAGAGGCCAGCATGGCACAGAGGCTTCCTGCAGGAGGGGGCACTCGGCCAGCCCTTCGCAGTACAGAGAAGGCCTCTGAGGGGGCGGGGAGCCGGCGAGCTGCAGGGAGCATGCTGGGCACAGCAGGTACCTGGAGTGGGAAGGAAGGTTAGGACCAGGTAGGGCAGAGGAGCGGAGGGGCTGAGGACTGGGCTCTGCACTGCCGGGCACCTGCTGGGGTGGGTAGGAGAGAGCAGGGAGGGGCGCGTGCCCACTCTGCAGAGGAGCCTGCTCCATGGTGGTGGCTGCCGCAGGAGCAGCGGTTGCCTGGCACCTCTGCTGTTGCCATGGTGACGATGGAGGTGCTAACTTGCTAATGAATCCCCTTCGGCTGCAAATAACAATACTATTGTGGGTGATAGGCCCAGCTCCAGCTCAGCGTTGCTTAGGAGGCAGAGCAGGGCCAGGTAAAGGCCAGGACCCGTCCTCCCGCCCCTCCAGCCCCTGCCCACCACCCTGCAGCTGGACTTGCCCTCCTCCCTCCCCTCCCTCTGGGTCTCAGATCTGGCTGGCTGCACCGAGGTCTCTCATGGCAGTGTCAGGACTCAGGGCTGCATGAAGGCTAGGCCCTGGCTGCAGAGAGGGCGAGGGCCTCTCCTCACACCTGCCCTCCTCCCTGCACTGGGGGGTATTTGCTTCTGTTGTTTTCAGTGAGAGAGAATCCACCCCCACTTAACGGATGAGGACATTGAGGCCGGGGCAGCTCCTCAAAAGACCCCCAGCCCAAGTGTCCCTGCCACTGCAGCCTTCTCGGGGTTCTGGGTCTCTGAGCTGGACCCTTGGGTATCCTACGGGGCACCTGGAGCCGCTGTCTCACCAGAACCACACATCTGGGCCCTCGCCTCTCACCACCTGTGCAAGGCTCAGGTAGAACTCGGGAAGGACAAACAGCTCATCAAGGACCCCCTGTGGGTAGTCAGGGACCCCCTTGGCAGGCAGAGACCCTCCACAGCAGGCAGGCAGCAGGCCCTTTTGCTGTTGAACTTGCTGGGTCTGGCCCTGGAGAGGACTCCCAGGCCTCGTTCCCCACCCTGTGGTGGAGGCTGGAGCACCAGCCCAGGAACGTTATCTGAGTGGGATCCTGAGGCCCTGCTGACCAGGTGCCACTGCAATCCCTGGTGTCAGCCGTGGGGTCAGCTGAGGCTGCCCATCCACAGTCAGGTGTTTCCCTGGCCTCTGGCAACAGGAGGGATGGTGGGAATGCACAGAAGCCTGGGCCCAGTCGAGGCGGGAGGGGCCAGGCAGGGGCCAAGCTTGAAGTGTCTGGAGAAGGAGAGTGAGTGCGAGGCTGGGGCTCCTGGGCAGGGAGGAGCTGGGACCTGCCCCTCAGTGTGGAGTTGGGGCTGGGCCAGGGACGAGGTCCACACCAGCCTTGCACCTGCTGCTCTGTGAACTCTCTCACTGGCCCCCGCCGGCCTGGGAGCTGACCTGGAGAGTCCAGAAACGGTGGTGGCCTCTGTCCCCAGCCTGCTGTTTGCAGTGCATGGGTGTCCTCAGGGCGCCTCCCCCCAGTGCCTCCTGTGGCTGTGGGTTGGGGGTCTGGCTTGCTGAGGGCCCGCTACCCACCGTAGCCCGCTTTGCACAGGGCGCAGGGCCCAGGGTACATCTATCTCCCAGCCTTCCCTCAGTCCTGAGCTGGGTGGAGTAAACTTCCTGACTGCCTGGCAGCTGTGGGGGCACAGGGAAGATGGCATTGCAGGGACACCCAGTGCCCATCTGTGTGTGACCCAGGTGTGACCCAGGTCCCAACCCTGCCCCAAGCCTCGGTTTCCCCATAGTTAAAGCAAACTCATCATCCTTAACACTATGCGCCTCCTAGGGGCTGTGAGTGTAAAGTGGACCCAGAGGAAGGCCAGTCCTGGCAGGTGACAGGGAGATGGGGCCCGGCAGTGGGGCAGTGACAGGCTTGTCATCAAGCCTGCAGGAGGGGCTTCCGGAGACTCCATCCTCAGACATCCCTACTCCACCTGCCCACCCGGCAGTCTGAGGCCTTTGCAGGCCATGCCGAGGGCCTGGCACCTGCGGGGTCCCCGACACTGACCCTCCTCCCAGGGCTGCCCCGCCCCTCCCATCCTGGGCCCTATCAGCCCATGAAGGAGCCTCCTAGACCCCAGGCTCCGCTAGGGGAGAGGCACTGTGTGGGTGCAACACGCCCCTGCAGGAGCTGGGCACTCACCCCCAGCAGGCACGTGGCGCACACTAAACCTCAGCCTGCAGGTCAGGAGGGCAGCAGTGGCAAAGGAGCCGTGCCTCTGTGCCTGAGCCCCTCCCGCACCCGCCTGCTATCCGGCTGCCCCCGGGAGCCCACTCTCCAGTGGAGGCAGCCCCAAGGCCACCATCCACCAGGGGCTGGATTATCGGCTTACGGAGCTGCCCTGGAGTCAAGTCTCCAGGGATTGGACTCCCTGGGGCTGTGCTAGGGAGAGAGGGGCAGGTGTGAGGACAGCAAGCCCGGAGGAGGGCAGAGAGCTTGACCATGTGGGAGGGTGAGGTGCAGTCCAGACCCCGACTTGCTGGGGGTCCTGTGGTGGAAAAGATGCAGAAGTCACAGCAGGGAGATGCCTGTGTCCCAGGGATGAGATGGAATGTTCTGGAATGCCTAAGGGTCCGTGAACCCCAGGGCCCACAGGAAGGACCCCTGGCCTCTTCCAGCCCTCAGACCCTTCTCTGTGGGGCCCATTTGCCCCCCTCTGCCTTGTTGCATCCTGCTGAGAGCTGGCCTTGTGACCTGGACGGGGTCTCTCCAGAGGGAGAAGGGTTCCCACGGGCACATGTTGGTGTGTCCTGGTGGGCGCAGCTCCCAGCTCTGATCTGTCCTGGGGAGCTTCTGGGTGCCACCCAGGGGCCCGCAGCACTGCTGACCATCCCCCTGTCCCTGCAGGTCCAGCACCATGTGCTAGGTCACTCCCAGCGCGAGGCCACACCTGGGCCGTCGGAGCAGCCCCTCCTCACTTCAGGGGTCACCCTCCCCAGCACCCATTGCCCCACCATGGCTGGGGACCGGCTCCCGAGGAAGGTGATGGATGCCAAGAAGCTGGCCAGCCTGCTGCGGGGCGGGCCTGGGGGGCCGCTGGTCATCGACAGCCGCTCCTTCGTGGAGTACAACAGCTGGCATGTGCTCAGCTCCGTCAACATCTGCTGCTCCAAGCTGGTGAAGCGGCGGCTGCAGCAGGGCAAGGTGACCATTGCGGAGCTCATCCAGCCGGCTGCACGCAGCCAGGTACCCAGCCCACTGCCCACCAGGCATGCATCACGTCCAGGGTCCACAGCTAAGGGGCCCTCAGCTCGGGCAGCACCCCCCTCCTCTGCCTTCCAGTCCAAACTCGACTCCTTGGGGTCACAGCCAGGGGCGTGTGGAGCAGTCCTCCCTGGCACTTGCCTCTCACCGCTGCCTGTTGCCCCTGCTCAGGGCATCCCCCGCACCCCCGCCCGCAGCACCCTTCCCTACCCTCCCTCCAGGGCCTCCTTGCTCAGCTTCTGCACAGAGGTGCCGGGCCCTCCCCACGCAGATAGGACTGTGTGGCCAGGGCCAACCCAGGCTCACAGAGGGGAGCAGTGAGTGGAATAGCAAGGTGTGACCACATGGCAGTGGGAGCAGCCCAGCTGGCCTACACGGGACAGGGACAGCTGTGTGGTCCACTTCCACTGCTGTGAGGACAGGAGGGGTGGTCAAAAGGCACACGTGAGCAGTCCATGTCCCCGTCCCACAGCTTCCCCCAGCCCGCAGAGTATTCAGGGACCCAGAATTCTCTCTGTGGCCCCCCAGGAATGTCCTTCTGGGGAAGGACAGCTCATTCTGCCCAGGACCATCAGGTGCAGCTGGGGAGGGACCAGCGGGGCTGTTGACCTGTGAAGGTGGCGGCACCTCCTCCTTCTACTGCCTCGCAGGGGACAAGGGTGACAAGCTCTTGGCCCTGGAGGCTTTGAGAGGGGTCTGGGTCACTGATAGGCCCTGTTCAGAGCTGGGACATGGGAGGACTCAAGTGGGATGGCCACTGGCCAGGAGTCCGCCCACCCCAAGGCCAGAATCGGCTCCCTTTGGTTTCCAACAAGGGGAATCTGGTGATTAATGACCCCCAGCAAGGACTCCCGGCAGAGTGCGATCCCATTGGCTGCCGGTGACGTCACCCAGCCCAGGGTTGGCGGCTCAGCTGGCTTAAGGGCTGAGTGTGTGCTTGCAGGGCGGGGGCACCGGTGCTGTCTGAGCAAAAGCCGCTCAACATCTGGGCTGGCCCTTGGGGTGGGGGAGGAGGGCAGGAGGAACCCAGCTTCCAGCTGCTGCCTCCGGAATTGGTGCAGGGGCCTGGGGTCCTGCTGCAGCCCTCTGTTTCTCCGCTGGGGGTTGGGGAGGGGATAGGGTGGGGAGCAGAATTGCTGGCTACACAGTTAGCCCCACTGAGAGCCCACACCCGAAGGCATGCGTTTCAGGGCCGAGCTTCTCTGTCCCTCCGCCACCCTGGGAGCCAGCCAGGTCCTATCCTGGGCTCCCATCGCACTCACCTGTGTCTCCTCCACACAGGCCTGGCCCAGAGCGTCCGTCCCCTTCACCCATGTGCATGGCATGGGGGCACAGCTGCGCAGGGCAGGAGTCCACCCCTCCCTGCCCCCATGGCTTGCTGTGTGGTGTGGGTGTGTGCATCTGGGCCTCTGGCAGATGGAGGAGAGTGTGTGACTGCACCTGCCCTCCCCTCCAGGCAGCAAGGTGACAGCTGCCTGCCTCCCATCATCTGATGCCCTTACTATTCCCTTGAGCCAGCATATCTGGGACGGGGCCAGGGCATCGATAGGTGGAGGCGGCATGCTGATCTCTGCCCCATGGCCCCCAGGTGGAGGCTACGGAGCCACAGGACGTGGTGGTCTATGACCAGAGCACGCGGGACGCCAGCGTGCTGGCCGCAGACAGCTTCCTCTCCATCCTGCTGAGCAAGCTGGACGGCTGCTTCGACAGCGTGGCCATCCTCACTGGTGAGTCCATGACCCACGCCTCCCCGAGGCACTTGCTCCGCCAGCAGTGGGGCTGGGGCTGGGGCTGGGGCATCAGGGAGGTGTCCGCTGGGCACGGGGGGATCTCCATACATCTGTGGTTCTTGAGGCCCCACCATCCTCTCCCCAGGACGCCCACACTTCAGGACCCACCAATATGACTATCCTCAACACAGAAGGAAACCTCACAGTACAGCTGGGCTCCAGAGGTGTAGGGCAAGGCATGCAGGCTGGGAGCCCCTCCCACTCCCGGAGCTCCTGTCAGAAGCCGGAGGCAGAGGCCCCATCCTCTGGAAACTCAGTTGGAGCCGTGGGGTCCCGAGGAAGTCCCCCCACCTCCGAAAGCCCAGCTGAGTGCAGGTTGCCTGGCAACAGCCTGGCACCAAGGCTGCTGCCTGGGTCCCAGCAGACAGCCCCCAGGGATCCCTGTGGCCCAAAAGCAGCCTGGGCAACTGGCCCCAAGCCCTGGAGGCAGGGAAGCCGCCCCCCTACACACGCTGATACACACTCATATACACTCACACACTCGTGGTCCCAGAGGGTTCTTTCTTTCCTTGGGCTGTGGCTGAGGGCGTGTCTGTAGAATCCACCTCCTGGGGTCGGCCCAGGTCCCAGAGCCGGACGGAGCTGGCCTGTCCCAGGGATGTGCACCCTCCCCCATCCAGGTCTGGGGTCTTTGTCCAGGCTCCTTCTGCCTGGCCTCTGCTACCAGGGGCTGTTCCAGGCAAGCAGAGGATATGGGGGACTGTGGGGTGCAGGCACGGTGGGGTGAGGAGTAGGCAGCCAAGCCAGGCCCTTGGCCCTGCATCCAGTGGAAGCAGGGACCTTCACCCAGCCTGAGGGCGACTGTGGGGGATGAAGGGGTGGCAGCCGCTTTGGCCAGGCCGACCTCCCGACATGGCATGTCCTGGGACCTAAAGGGCACCTGGGAGGCTTGAGGGTGGTCCAGTGTCCTGGGCAAGAGCATTGAGGCCAGGCTCCCTCCCCACCTCTCTGTGGGTGAGACCAGCACCCTGCACTGCTGGGTGGCCATGGTCAGAGGGTGTCTGTGCGTCTGTGCATGGCTCTGGGCGTCTGGTGACCAGCATCTGCCTCTGCGAGTGTGTACGTGAGCATGTGTGTGCATGTATGTGTGTGTGTGCATGTGCATGCATGTATGTGTGTGCATGTACATGTGTGCATGTATGGGCATATGCATGCCTGTGTGTGCGCATATGTGCATGTACGTGTGTGCACGTGTATATGCATGTATATACATGGAGGTATATTTGTGTATGTACCCGCCTGTGCTTGTCTGGGTGAGATTTGGGATTTGTGTGCATATGTGTGAACTCTCAGAACCAGAAGCCACAGAATGACGCACTCTGATCCAACCCTGTTCCCCTAGGTCCAGTTTGAGGACTGAACTGGTGGGGGGCGGGGAGAGAGTAGTTTGGGGCTTTTTACAGCTCACCAGGTGTAACAGGACCCCTCCCAAAGGCCAGTTTGCTGCCCTAGCCAGGAATGGGAGTCAGGAGACTCTTCTTGGAGGCTGAGAAAGGTCCCAGAGTGGCACCTCCCTACCTGCAGGCAGATCCCAGGAAAGTCCCAAGCCTGGAAGGGCCTGTCTCCCTCGAGGCCAGAGTGGGACGGTTTGGGGGGCTGGGGCCCTCACCCAGCACTGGTGGGTGGGACAGCATGGGTGTGCAGGTGGGCGTGGATGAGTATGGGCATGGGAGGGGCCGGGCCTGTGCTAGGATTTGCCAGGAGGGCACTCCCAGGGCCTGGTCATGCCACCCTCAGAACTGCCTTTCTGTGCTGACATCTGCCCTGCAAGGTTGAGGCTGTGTCCCCTTTTCTCCAGAAGTGCAGCTGCCAAGGAGTCCCAGGCCCCGTGGTATACAGTGGGCTCATGGCGACACCCAGGCAGGCCCACGGGCTCTGCCCTCAGGCTCCCTCCCACCCTGTGGTGGGCACAGCCCCTGCTCTGGGCTGGCTCTGCGAAGAACCAGGGAGAGTGGGAAAGAATATATTGGGGGGGGCAGGGGTGCTGCCCCTCACCCAGGAGAAGGGATGTTCCAGGATCCCGCGGCACAGGCAACACAGCTCCTTGGTCCATTTGCAGGGACAGTAGAGGCCGGAATGTGAGGACCAAGCCTCTGTCCTCCCCACAGCAGGGCAGGTTTGCGGGAAGCGGGAGAGAAACAGTGGCAGGACAGGCTGTGCTGGGGTCCCAGGACTGCTGTGAAGCCCACCTCCCCCTGCCGCTCCTCTTCCCCCACTCCAGCTGCGCTGCTCACGATGTTGGGGGGCAAGCGGCAAGGGATGAGAGAGGGGCCTGGCCCTTTAAGCAGCGGCCCGCAGTCGGCCTTGGACCCTTGGCCGGGCGACTGCACTGCAAGTGGGTGGGGTGGCGGCCCCCGCCCTGGCGGGGAGTCCAGGGGTCATGGAGGTGGCGGGCAGAAGTGCGTCTGTGACTGTGGCCATAAGCGCTTGCAGGGTCTCCCAGGTGGCATGGGGCAGGCACATGTCCTGGTACACACGCCTTTTTTCAAGTCTGGGATTTCACTGTGAGTAACAGGTGAACTGCAGGCGCTGCCCCAGAAACCCCCGAGTCAGGGAGCAGGGATACTGGGAAGGCGCCTTTGGAGATGCCTGGGGGTAGGGGTGCCTCCCCAGGGCCCAAAGAGTGCTGGGACCTACAAAGGGTCCACTGAACCCCAACACCCCTCACTTATCACTCACCCCCAGAGCCTGGGTGGTTCTGAAATCCCTGGAGCCTCGGTCCCTGCTAGGCCTGGCATCCACAGTGGGGTGTGTAGGGACATCCACACTACCTGCTCCGCCTGGGGAGGTCCTGGGAAGCTTCCTGGGGAATTGCTGACATAGCTGTCGGTTCTCTGCACCTGTCCAGAGACTTTCCTGCCTTTACCTCCTCTGGGAGAGGTGGGAGGGTACTGATGGAATCCCCAGCACCTCCTCCTTTGGCCAGGCCCTGGAGAAAGCAGAGAGTAAGGCACAAAATCCCTGGGAGAGCCACAGGGAGGAGGAGAGGCAGCAGGTGGCAGAAGAGTCTGCAGAGAAGTGGTGCAGCCCTTCCGCCTCCCCGGGGCTGTCCTGCAGCGGGAACATCCAGGGCTACCCCAGCTCAGAACAGTGAGTGGAAGCCAGCTACAGTGCCCATCCCAGCCTCTGCTCAGGGGAACCTGCAAGCTGGGGCGTCGTTGGTGACAAGTCACCTACCTGCTTTCCCCTGTCCAGTCAGCAGGTTCCCACAGAAGAGACTGTTCCTCCAAGGCTGCTGCCTCAACCCACCCAGCCTGGAGCTTCCCCTATCTCCACAGTCCCCCAGCGTCACGCCCTTTTTAGGGACACGGGGAGCTGGCACAGCAGGTGTTCTGGTTGGGGGTTTGCACACACTCCCCTGTCCTCAGGAGTTATCCAGGGTGGCTCTACTCCACCCAGCAGGGGAGAATGGAGAGAGGAGGAGCCCTAGGCACTGGGGGCACGCGGGGCAGGCAGTGGGCACCTGCTACACATGTGGCACCAGCCTCTTCTGCAAACCAGGACAAAAAAGAGCCCTGGGGTTCCCAGGCCCTGAGCTCCCGCCGTCACTCCCCTGCCCCGTCCAATGGGATAGGGCAGGCCTCAGCCCAGCTGCCTCAGGCTCTGCACAAGCAGGAGCCGGCTTGCCATGGGGGCTTATGTTCTGGAAGGTGTCCTCGGGGTGGTGCTGGGCCATGCTGGCTTCACCCTCCCAAGAGCTGGCAGCCACCAGGTGGGTGCTGCCCAGTTTCTGGTCCACATCGGTGGTCGCCCCAGCCAGGTCAGGGACGGCCAGGTCCATTCTCACCATGTGTCTTCGTGCTCATTATCTTCTTGGAACCACATGATGCTGTGTGGCAGGCAGGAGGAGGAAGCTGAGACCAGAGCCATGGTGTGCACTACCCATGGTCACTGAGTCAGACATCCAGGGATTCACGTTCGGGTCCTTCCAGCTGGTGCAGGGCAGGGGACTTCCTCCCACCAGCCTGTGGCCTCGGACTTGGACGTGTGTGGAAGGCAGCAGCACACGCTGGTCACGTGTGCAGCGGGTGCCCACTGCCTGCTCTGCGTGCCCCCAGTGCCCCGGGCTTCTCCACTCTCCGTCCTCCCCTGCTGGGTGGAGTACAGCCATAACCAGACAGCAAATGCCCCGAGGGCTGTGCCAGGGTGATGTCATGCCTGGGGACGGGGAGGGCCTCTCGGAAGCCCTGGCCTCCTGGTCCTGGCACCCAAGCCCAGGCCTGGGGCTCCCAGCCAGCTGGAGGCAGGGAGGCATTGCATCAGTGCAGGGGAGGAGGAAGGCCCAGCCTGGCCCCAGGCCATGGGTATGGGAGATGGCCGGGCTCGTGAGGGCCTCTCCTCTGGGCTGTGTGACACACACCCTCAGCAGGAGACCCCTGTGGCCTCTGAGCCCACCCCTGCCTGGGCCCAGCGCGTGCCGTGATGGCCAGCCACCTCAACGCCACCTTTACGGGCATCCTAGCGGCGTCCTCAGCTGGGTCAGCCCCTAATTAGCATGAGGAGGAATGTGGGCGTAGGTGCAGGCTGTAAATGTGTGGCAGTACCCCCTCCCCCCACCGCGGGCAGAGCAGGTGCTCCGCCAGAGGCTTGCCGGCTGGGCTCAGGCTCGGGTCTGGGCTGGGTGTGACTGATCCTCAGCAGTAGATGGGGTGCCCTAGGCGGACAGGGCACCCTAGGCGGACAGGGAGCCCTAGGTGTTCTCTCAACCCACTTGACGGCCCTCCTCCTACAGGGGGCTTCGCCACCTTCTCCTCCTGCTTCCCCGGCCTCTGCGAGGGCAAGCCTGCTGCCCTGCTACCCATGAGCCTCTCCCAGCCCTGCCTGCCTGTGCCCAGCGTGGGCCTGACCCGCATCCTGCCTCACCTCTACCTGGGCTCGCAGAAGGACGTCCTAAACAAGGTGTGTGTGCAGTGGAGTTCGGGGGGTGGTCAATGGGAAAGGGGCAGGAGCTCCAGAAGCAGCTTGGCAGCGGAGCGGGGGATGAGGGAGGAAAGGAGCTGAAGGCAGTGGATGAGCTGGGTGTGGGAGAAGCATGGGTGGGGGCCCAGGAGGACCCCAGGCTCCCCACCCATGCCCCTGGAAGGACCACAGCAGGGCTTGCGGGAGGGCCCGGCAGGGCTCGGGGGAGGAGCGGGGAGCTGGCATGCCAAGCTGCGGATGTCACTGGGCCTCTGGCCAGCTCTGAAAGAATCCCATGTTTTAAAAATGGTGACGAGGGAAAAGGGTAAAAGCCACCACCCAGGCAATCATAAAATTCCTAGGAGCCCACCACCAGCCGTGGGTGGGGCCTGCAGTCGGAGGCCAGCCGTGCCCCACCCCCCGCACGGGCCCAGGGTGCCAGGGTGGACCAGAGAGGCCTCCTGGGCCCTCCCCTGGATACACTGGGATCTGGGACAAATTCCAAGGCTCCCAGGATTCTAAAGGCCCTCCTGACGGCAGGGCAGGAAAAGCCTCCACCTTCACTCCCGCCCCGAGCTTCTCCCACCCCTTTCCAACCCGCCCTCCCGCCCCTCCAGGATCTGATGACGCAAAATGGAATAAGCTACGTCCTCAACGCCAGCAACTCCTGCCCCAAGCCTGACTTCATCTGCGAGAGCCGCTTCATGCGGGTCCCCATCAACGACAACTACTGTGAAAAACTGCTGCCCTGGCTGGACAAGTCCATCGAGTTCATCGGTGAGTCTGCGGTGGGCGGAGGGCAGGGACCTGGCTAGAGGAAGGCTAGAGCTGTGTGTGGCCACAGACACAGGAGGGGTCCCCAGGAAGTAGCCGGAACTGTTGGCAGTTGGGCGGGTGGGGTCCCCTACCTGGGCCAGGGAGAAGCTGTGCAGTCTTAGCCCTCACCTGGCCCCCATGGCCCACCTGCCCAGATAAAGCCAAGCTCTCCAGCTGCCAAGTCATCGTCCACTGTCTGGCTGGCATCTCCCGCTCTGCCACCATCGCCATCGCCTACATCATGAAGACCATGGGCATGTCCTCCGACGACGCCTACAGGTACCACCTTCCCCAGTCGCGCACTTGTGGCTCACAGCGTCGCTTCCCTTCCCCCGGCTGCCCACTTGCACCAGAATGACCCCACCGTCCAGGACCCGTGGCAAGGGAGGAGGGCCTGAGACCAGCCTGGCGCACATGAGCTCGTGGGTGCCCAGCGGGTGCGTCAGGTGGGCAGCCTGGCCCCGGCGGGCGCCTGGGACTGAGCCTCCTCCCCCGCAGGTTCGTGAAGGACAGGCGCCCGTCCATCTCGCCCAACTTCAACTTCCTGGGCCAGCTGCTGGAGTACGAGCGCAGCCTGAAGCTGCTGGCCGCCCTGCAGGGCGACCCGGGCACCCCCTCAGGGACGCCGGAGCCTCCGCCCAGTCCTGCCGCCGGGGCCCCGCTGCCACGGCTGCCACCACCTACCTCAGAGAGCGCTGCCACAGGGAATGCGGCTGCCAGGGAGGGCGGCCTGAGCGCGGGCGGGGAGCCCCCCGCGCCCCCCACGCCCCCGGCGACCAGCGCACTGCAGCAGGGCCTGCGCGGCCTGCACCTCTCCTCGGACCGCCTGCAGGACACTAACCGCCTCAAGCGCTCCTTCTCCCTGGACATCAAGTCTGCCTACGCCCCTAGCAGGCGGCCCGACGGCCCCGGGCCCCCCGACCCCGGCGAGGCCCCGAAGCTCTGCAAGCTGGACAGCCCGTCGGGGGCCGCGCTGGGCCTGTCCTCGCCCAGCCCGGACAGCCCGGACGCCGCGCCTGAGGCGCGCCCACGGCCCCGCCGGCGGCCCCGGCCCCCCGCCGGCTCCCCCGCGCGCTCCCCCGCGCACAGCCTCGGCCTGAACTTCGGCGATGCGGCCCGGCAGACTCCGCGGCACGGCCTCTCGGCCCTGTCGGCGCCCGGGCTGCCCGGCCCTGGCCAGCCGGCCGGCCCCGGGGCCTGGGCACCGCCGCTCGACTCCCCAGGCACGCCGTCGCCCGACGGGCCCTGGTGCTTCAGCCCCGAGGGCGCACAGGGGGCGGGCGGGGTGCTGTTTGCGCCCTTCGGCCGGGCGGGCGCCCCGGGACCAGGCGGCGGCAGCGACCTGCGGCGGCGGGAGGCAGCGAGGGCTGAGCCCCGGGACGCGCGGACCGGCTGGCCCGAGGAGCCGGCCCCGGAGACGCAGTTCAAGCGCCGCAGCTGCCAGATGGAGTTCGAGGAGGGCATGGTGGAGGGGCGCGCGCGCGGCGAGGAGCTGGCCGCCCTGGGCAAGCAGGCGAGCTTCTCGGGCAGCGTGGAGGTCATCGAGGTGTCCTGACCCCTCCGCTGCCCTCGGCCCCGCCGCCCGCAGCCAGGCCCGTTATAAATGTATATTATATATAATGCAAAGAAAGGTAAATGGTTTTACTGGGATTTTTATCGAGAAGTAAATATTTCGATTTTTTATTTATTTAAGCTGTTCATTCTGGCAATGATTTGGCAACAGTGCGGGTGGTCCTCGAGCTCTATTTTTACTGTCTGGTATTTAAACTGAAACATACGTTTCTAAGCAATACGAGGCCACCTTCAGTCGCAAGCTGGGTGCCAGGCCTGGGGCCCCTCCCAGTTCCCCCGCCCCAGGAAACACTGCTGACCTTTGCAAAGGCTGCCGAGCTTTCGTGCACTTTTTACATAACAAAAAGGTGAAAAAAAGGAAAAAAAAACTTCTTTGCCACAAACTGAGCCGCAGAACCCCCCTTCTCCCCCCACCCACCTCCCCTGCTCCCTCCCTTCTCTGCGCCGGCCTAGGGCTCTGCACCAAAGCCATAGGATGGAGGAGCAGGAGCTGGTGTGCCCCGGAGAGGTGCGGCCAGCCCTCCATCAGCTCCAGGCACCAAATCTTGGTGGCAAGGAGGGCACCCCGCTGCCCGTTGCCCCAGAGCTGTTCTCTGGCAGGGGAGGACAGGCATTGGGCTTCATGGTGCCAGGGTGTTCAGAGGGGCTGAGAAATAGAACAGTGTGTGTAGGGGCTTCGGGCAGGGGGTTCTGGAACGTCAGATGAGGTGCAGCCCAGGGGAGGACAGAGGTGTTAGTGCCCCCAACTCCTGCCAGAGCCCCAGTCCAGCCACAGAGTGGCTCAGAAAGGCCATTCCTAGAGGGCTGCGGCCCTCCCTTCTCCCTTGCCCATGCCCCCAGAGCTGCCTGCCGGGCAGGGTGGCACCATTGCAGGAGAGGAGCTTGGCCTCCGGGGGTCAGGCAGGAGGCGCCTGGCTAGCCAGTGCTGGCTCCACTGGGCAGGAAGCCCTGGACCCCCAGGTATGAGGAGGGGGTGGTCTTAGGGTTCTGTTCCAGGTCTGCCCCGCCCCCCTCCCAGCCATGCCCCAGGCAGAACTTGGAATTCAGGTGTGCACCTGCAGGCTGAGGGGCTCTGTGAGCAGGTGCTGCTCACACAGGGAGTTCAGGCGCCAGCCAAGCCCCTGTGCTGCTGGGATAGGCCTGCTTCACTTAGGGAGCACTGCCTCAAGACAGGTAAAGCCCCCTCGTTTGCCCCCACCCCCATGGGGCCGCTCAGGAGAGAAACTCCCATTCACCCCTTTCCCAGGGTGCTCTCTCTCTAGGTGGCATGCCAGCCCCCAAACACAAGTGGCTTTTGGGCCCAGGTGGGTCAGCCTGCTGCCCCTGCCCCATACCCCCTCGGGCCATTGGGACCCCTGCCCTTCAGATGTCCTAGGGTCTAGGAGTGGGGCCAGTCACTGTGGGAAGAGGCCAGGGGCTTGGCCGGAGAGGCAGCCCAGGGCAGGACCCAGTCCTGAGTCCTGGAGCAGGGCCAGGGAGGCGCCCATCCCGCCCCGGCCAGCCGCCCTCTCTGCTGTTTCTTCTATTTGTTCTTCTTTTCACCCACAGCTCTGTGTTCCTGTCATCCCTCCTTTCAGCAAAAGTCCTGTTCCCGTTCCCTCTGTCCCCACCCACTCCTGTTCCCCCAAGAAAATAAGCTATCGTTGTATTTGCAATCTATGGATTAGAGGTTTAAGTATTTATTATTATTGGTTAATTATTATTAATTATGTAAATTTGCCTCCCATATGTCTGTTGCGTTGGGTTTCTGAGGAGACCCTGGGTGAGGAGGATGCACTGGCTTCCCGCTTCTCGCCCCCCACCCCTGTGCTGTCCGGGAGACAGTGGTCTGGGGCCACTGGTTGGGCCCCCTTCTCCCTTCCCCCTTCCCCTTGTCCCTTCTGCAGGCCGTTGAGGGGGGCTGTCTGTCTCAGTCTGTCTCTGCTCCCACTCTTGAGGCACTGGTTACCGCAAAGTGAGCAGCCAGCAGGGGGGCGAAGGTCCTGTGTTGGCCACTGCCTCCTCCAGTGCTGCAGGAGGCGGGCTGAGGCCCCACCTGGTGGCTTTCACCTGACCCAGCCCTGAGTCCTCTCCAAGCCTCTCTCCGGCCCCTCCCACCTGGCCACTGCCTCCTCCAGTGCTGCGGGAGGCGGGCCAGGGCCCCACCTGGTGGCTTTCACCTGACCCAGCCCTGAGTCCTCTCCAAGCCTCTCTCCGGCCCCTCCCACCTGGCCACTGCCTGGCATTGGGATCGCCCCAAAATGGACCCGGCCCCTCCTGTTATTTGCTGGGAAGTCCAGCGGAGGAGAGGGTGCAGGTCCCCCGCTGAGCCTCCAGTCTCTGTAGACTGGGCTGCCGGCCCTTCAGCCCCCCTTGGAGCCCCTCCCGCCACAGCCGCACCTTCTGCTCCCGGCCCCTCCCTTTGTATTTGGAGACAATGTGTTGTAATAAAGCTTAAAGTGGATGTTTTCCCCACGACTCCGCGCCTCTTCCTTCAGACTGGTGGTGGGCAGGGTGGGGGCAGAGGCTGCTGGGAGGCAGGCCTGAGGCCAGAGCCTGGTGTGTTGGGTCTGGAAACTTGCCCCAGGCTCACACCGCGGGTGAGCTCTGAGAATAGTCCCTGGGGGCCAGGCATGGGCACAGGTCCTCAGCTGCACCTTTAGGGTGTAAAACACACTTTTTCGGTTGTTACAGGCTAGTAAAAGCTTAAATAACTTAAAACGATATAAAACCTCAGTGTTACCCACCAGTCCCCTCACTCCCACAATCCCAATGTGAACAGTTGGATGCTTCCCTCCCAGCCCCTCCATGTGTGCTGTGTGCTGTGTGCATGTGTGTGGGTGCATATACGTACCAGCAGAAATAGGGGTCTAGCTATATATAGTGTCTCCAACCAGACTTTTTTTTTTTTTTTTTTTGAAATGGAGTTTCGTTCTGTCATCTAGGCTGGAGTGCAATGGTGCGATCTCCGCTCACTGCAACCTCCGCCTCCCCGGTTCAAACAATTCTCATGCCTCAGATTCCCAAGTAGCTGGGATTACAGGCACGTGCCATCACACTTGGCTAATTTTTGTATTTTTAGTAGAGATGGGGTTGCACCATGTTGGCCAGGCTGGTCTCAATCTCACTGACCTCAAGTGATCCGCTTGCTTTGGCCTCCCAAAGTGCTGGGATTACAGGTGTGAGCCACCGTGCCTGGCCTCCAACCAGCTTTTCAAATCTTAAGTAATGTGCATGTCATACAAGGATTAAAAGCACACCAGGGTATGTGGTAGAAAGTACTGGTTTGTCTCCCCCAGGCTTGTCCCCAGCCTCCAGGGTCCTCTCCCTGGAGGCAGCCCCAGCCCGGCCTGCAGAGCCCCGCCTCCCCCCCCCCCCACCCCCCACCGAGGGCAGACCTGGCTGCTGCAGGTGCCACAGGCTGCAAAGATTCACAGTGTGCGTGCAGCCCGGGCTGAGGCTTGTCTACACTGTGGCGGAGGATACCAGATCTGTCCTTACCACACAGACCTGGTTCATGCAGCTTCTTCCAGGTTTAGTATACCTCTCCCAGGGACCCCTCCCAACCAGTGATGCTGTCCAGACCGTGTGTGTGAGTGCTCATGAGACAGGAGGAAGAGGAAGCAAGAGAGGGGAAGAGGAGGGGGCCAGTCCCTCCTCGGGGGCTGCAGGAGGAGGTAGGGTCCTTGAATCCTGCATCTTTAAGAGTCCTCAAAAAGGAGGAAAGCTAGAAACATAGTCTGATGCTCCCGCAAGGCTATTTTTGGCTCAAGAACATCTATTTATAACTCAGGCAGCCCCCAGCAGTCAATAAAACTGAGGCCTGGAAAGAGCTGATGGCTGACTCAAGCAGCACCGAGGTGCTCCCTTACCCCCTGTGCGCAGGAGCACCTGCAGCTCCAGCAGGTGGGTGACGGCCTCTCCTAGGATGCCCATCTGGGGCACATAGGTCTCAGGACCCTGGGGGCAGTGTAAGACTCCAGATGGAAGGAGGGGGTCTCATTTACCAACTCAATCAGGCTCCTAGTGGTCCAAGAGCTGCCCAAAGTAGGCGGTGAAGCAAGAGTTGAACACTGGTGGACTGGCCTCCAACTGCTACGTAGAGTCCCCTAAAGGCTTGTTGCCCTGCCTACAGCTGTGTCTCCCCCCAGGACAAGAGCTTTAGTTGCTGGATGGGTCTTGGATGGGTGGGTAGATGGGTGGATGAGGGAGGGAGACATGGATGGATGGATAGGTGAATTTATGGATGGGCAGATGGATGAATGGTGGATGGATGGATGGGTGCATGGATGGGTGGGTAGAAGGGCAGATGGATGAATGGGTAGAGGGATGCGTGGGGTGGGTGGGTGGGTAGATGGATGGATGGATGGATCAATGAATGGGTGGATGGGTGGGCAGATGGATGAATGGGTAGAGGGATGAGTGGGGTGGATGGGTGGATGGATCAATAGGTGGAGGGATAAATGGGATGGGTGGATGGATGGATAGAGGGGCAGATGGATGAATGGGTGGAGAGGGATGAGTGGGGTGGATGGATGGATGGGCAAATGGATGAATGGGTAGAGGGATGAGTGGGGTGGGCGGGTGGATGGATGGATGGGCAGATGGATGAATGGGTAGAGGGATGAGTGGGGTGGGTGGGTGGATGGATGGATGGATGGGCAGATGAATGAATGGGTAGAGGGATGAGTGGGGTGGGCAGGTGGGTGGACGGATGGATGGATGGGCAGATGGATGAATGGGTAGAGGGATGAATGGGGTGGGTGGATGGATGGATGGATGGGCAGATGGATGAATGGGTAGAGGGATGAGTGGGGTGGATGGGTGGGTGGATGGATGGATGGATGGGCAGATGGATGAATGGGTAGAGGGATGAGTGGGGTGGGTGGGTGGATGGATGGATGGGCAGATGGATGAATGGGTAGAGGGATGAGTGGGGTGGGTGGGTGGATGGATGGATGAGCAAATGGATGAATGGGTAGAGGGATGAGTGGGGTGGGTGGTTGGATGGATGGATAGGCAGATGATGAATGGGTAGAGGGATGAGTGGGGTGGATGGGTGGGTGGATGGATGGATGGATGGGCAGATGGACGAATGGGTAGAGGGATGAGTGGGGTGGGTGGGTGGATGGATGGATGGATGGGCAGATGAATGAATGGGTAGAGGGATGAGTGGGGTGGGCGGGTGGGTGGATGGATGGATGGGCAGATGGATGAATGGGTAGAGGGATGAATGGGGTGGGTGGATGGATGGATGGATGGATGGGCAGATGGATGAATGGGTAGAGGGATGAGTGGGGTGGATGGGTGGGTGGATGGATGGATGGATGGGCAGATGGATGAATGGGTAGAGGGATGAGTGGGGTGGATGGGTGGGTGGATGGATGGATGGATGGATGGGCAGATGGATGAATGGGTAGAGGGATGAGTGGGGTGGGTGGGTGGATGGATGGATGGATGGGCAGATGGATGAATGGGTAGAGGGATGAGTGGGGTGGATGGGTGGGTGGATGGATGGATGGATGAGCAAATGGATGAATGGGTAGAGGGATGAGTGGGGTGGGTGGGTGGATGGATGGATGGGCAGATGGATGAATGGGTAGAGGGATGAGTGGGGTGGGTGGGTACATGGATGAATGGGTGGAGGAATGAATAGGATGGATGGATGGATGAATACATAAATGGGTATTCATAAATAGGCAAGTAGATGTGTGGCTAGGGAGTAGAAGGAAAGGAAGGTGGACAGATGGATGGACGGGTGGAGAAGTGATGGGGTGGATAGGAGGTGGAAGAATGGGTAAATGAGAGGGAGGGAGGGAGCGAAGGTGGGTGGGTAATAATGTTACATTGCGTTAGTTGCACTTCTGTTAGTCTTACATTAAAGCCAGCTTGTGCTTACCTCCATTCTCCATTGGACTGCAGATGGGTACCTGGTCTTTGCATACAGAAGGTACCCAGTGAATGTCCAATGAATAAGCCACATACTAACTGTCTTGGAGTGGGACATCACAGGAGAGACCCTCTCCAAGGCCCAGGGAGAGGAACAGGCTTGGTCAATGTCCCTTAGAGGGTCAGGGGCCAAGTTGGGGCTGGGCTTGGTTCCTGGTCTCTCAGGCACCATTCCTCTGCCTGCCGAGCCATCCCTGGAAGTAAGCTGGAGGCTGGTCTCAGTGGCACCCCTGCCAGCTGCCACTGTACTCCTGTGGATGGACTTACCAAGGCCCTTCCGGAGCTCAGAACTGAAGAGACTGAGCAGGAGAAAGGGCAGAGGGCCAGTTCTCAGGAAGCCTTTCAGGAGGAGAGTTTTGGCCTCTGAAGGCCAGGTTGTGTTTGGAGGGGCTGGGGGCAGGTGGGGCAGGAGGACATTGCAAAGGTCCACAGCATGGGAGAAAAGGCAGAGGTAGGAGCGCCCTGCGGGGAGCCAGGCAGAAGCTGAAGGCCTCTGGCCAAGGCAAGGCCCGACGGGAAGAGGGTGCATCTCGATGGGGCTCTGAATGGCAGGTGGGTTGGGGGAGTGTCTAAGAAGAGTGGTTCTTTGTGGGCAAGATGAAGGGAGGACTTGCTGTTAAGGGGAAGCCATGGAGTCTTTGAGGGGCCTATACAATGGACACCAGCAGAGGGTGCCCCAACCTCCCCGGAAGGGCGCAGGGCACAGGGCAGGGCGGGCCCTGGACAGAGGGTGGGAGAGGAGGGGCTGATTCTCAGCAGAGCTTCACAACAAATGCCTTGTGTCCATGGTGGGAGCACGTGGGGAAACTCAATTATCCCTGCAGGCAGCTGGGGCTCGGCGGCACAGTCCCTCCAGAGAAAGCACAGCCTTCTGGCCCAGGGGTGAGGGTCTAGACCTGTAAGGCAGCCCACAGTCCCAGGCCCCACTCCTGCCCCTGGGAATGGGTCTCCTGGGGTAGGAGCCTCTGTGGAAGACACTAGGCCCTGAAGGCGTGATGATGGCTTGTTTGTGAAGCGAGTGGTCCCTGACTGTGGGGACCAGAGCTCAGAGGGGATCCTGGTGGGGCGAGGGGAACATGCGTGTGCCTCCCACCCCCAAGCAGGGCGATGCCAGGGCAGGCCTTTGCCAAACACTAGGCAAGTGCCTGGGTGGATGCCCTTCAGTCCTTCCAAACTGAGCAGGTAGACTTGTCTTGCTTCAGAACCCTTCAATGTCCCCCTCCAGAGGGGCTGGGTTGGGGGTGGCCTCAGGGAGGGAAGGGGTATGGGAGCTGAACTGGAGTTGAGTGAGAATGCTGGGGAGAGGGAGGCCTCAGTAGTGGGGTGAGAGGAGAGGAACTCAGTGAAGGGCCTTCATTCTGGAAGGTGGGCGGGGGGAGGGGGACGGGTGCTAGGTCCAGGGGCATCTCTCCCAGTCTTTGCAGACACCACCCATGAAACCAAGGAACAGTGGCCTGTCCCCAGGCAGCTCCCAGGAGGAAGCTCTGGGAAGGAAAGGGGAAGACGCCGCTTACCCCTTCCCCGCCAGGAATTCTGCTGCCCCCCCCCCACCAAGTCCAGTGCCCTCCCACTCTGCCCCAGCACATGCGCCCTCATGGCTGAGCGCACCTGCAGAACGCACTCCCGCCCCCCACACACCTGGGGCCTCCGACCAGGACAGCGCAGGGCAGGTGACTACCCAGGAAGGGTAGGGGAATGTAGGGGGACTGGTGGCACCGTTGGCATCGCCGGCCGAAGCCTGCCCCTGACTGACGCAATTGCCGGCCGGTCGCAGCTATAAATAGCCAAGGAGAGCTGGAAATAGAAGCCAGGGAAGGGCCAGAGGCGGGTGGAGGGAGGAGCTTGGGCTTGAGCACCTGATGCCAGAGGAGGAAAACAAAACTCCATTCTAGGGCTCCCCTCCCTCATCCCACCCCAGCCCAGAGGGGCGTTTGCACCCGGAAACGTTTGGGGAAGCAGGGTGAAGTCAAGAACCTGCCCAACAGTGGGCGGGGCCTCCCTGCCGCGAGGGTCGGGGCGCGTGGAGCCTGCGCTGGCCACAGCCCGCGGTCTTCGGCTCTGGGTCATCTGCGGGGCAGTGGCCCCTCCTGATATCCGCCCGCCCCCACTCCCAAGCAGAAAGAGATTCCGGTGCCTCTCCACCCTCCCCACCCCACTCCCTCCGTCAAGCCCCTGGCCCAGGAGACCCCCGACAGCCCTGGAACACAGGGCCGATTGGCGAGATCAGTGGACACTAGGCCTGCCCAGAGCCTAGCCGGTGGGGGCGGCGTCCTGGGGGTGGGAGGGGGGCTTGTGGGGCAGTTTCCATATCTTCCTCGCCCAACCCAATCCTTCGGCCAGCGGCAGGAATGGGGCTCAGAGACTTTGCCGGCCTGGGGCAGGGCGCACTGCAGCCAGTGTGGAAGCCAGACCCAAACCGGACGGTCCCGGTGCCTGGTTCTGCTCGGTCACCTCTTGCCCACCTACCCAGCGGGCGCTCACAAGCTGGGGGCCCAAAAGAGGAACAGAAAACCAGAGGACTGGGGGGGCTTTGAGGCTGAAGGGCGAAGGCCCTTCCCGGACACCCTTGAGCCCTCCACCCTGAGCCCCTAGCAGCGCCAGGGAGTGACTTCAGTCCGGGTTCCTACTGTGGGGCCTCCGCCTCTCGGAGGGCATTAGGGCTGGCAAGGCGCGGCCGATGGGGCCCTTCGCCTGTGTGGACCGTAACAAGAAACTCCAGGAGGGGCAGGATTGAGGGCAGTAGGACGGGGTTGGTGTGGGCGAGGGGAGGTTTGGGTCCCCCCACCTCTCCGGGCAGCTGGTGGCGGCCCCGCCCTCCCTGAGGGCAAGGAACCCGCAGCCGGGAGGACGGCGGCTGCAGGCCAGTGTAGGGTGGGCGCGGTCCCATTAGAGCGGGCGGGGTCCGCCAGGATGGGCGGTGAGGTCAGCCCCGACGTAGGGGGCCCAGAGCATCGCTGGGTGGCTCGGGTGGCACCGGCGTCCGGGCCGCCAACCCCGCAGGAAGCGCCCAGTCACAATCCCGCCCCAGGGCTCCTCCACGCCCCGCCGCCCAGAGCCCAGAACCTGCCCAACCTGCGCGCGCCGCGGGGCGCAGCCGGGGGCTCCGAGGACCGGGAGGCAGGCGCGGGGGGTGCGCCAGCTGCTCGCGATGACCTCACGCCCGGCGGGGCCGCGCCCACTCCCAGACTGCCCTCCGCGGCGCTCTCCATCCGCAAAGCGCCGCTGCTCCTCGGCTCCCGCGTCCTGCGCGCCCCTCGCGGGTCCGGGTCCCCAGGCACTGCTGGCGTGGAGGGCGGGCGCGGGGAGCAGCTGCTCCGCTCCGAGCACGTGGGCAGCGCGGCTCCGGGTCCGGGGCCTAGGTGGGCAAACACCTGTCCCGCATGGGCGGGGCGAGCGCCCCTCCGGAGCCCGCCTGTCCGGCCCGGGGAACGTAGTATGAGCTCTTCTCCCGCCTCGGGCTTCGACTTGGGCTCGCCCGCCACCCCCACCCGGCGCTCCCCGAACCCGAGGCGGAGCGCAGCCCGGCAGCGCCATCTGCTGCCCGCGCCCGCCGAGGCTGGGGCCGGTTCTCGGGCCGGGGGCCCTGCACGCACGCCCACCCGTCGGGAACCCACCTGCTGGGAGGAAGGCACAGCCCTGTCTCCACCCCGCGCCCCCAGCCCACCCTCCTTCTAAGGCCCTCCCCTTGGTCCTTCGGCTGCCTCAGCTGTACCCACAACCTGCACCTGCTCTGGGCTTGCGGGTCCCGCAGGAAGGTCGCCCACACCGCGGCCCCAGGGACTCAGGCAGTCAGTGACCAGCTGTGTCTCCAGCCAGGTTTTCTCCCTGTCCTCCAGACCGGGCAATGCCAAATGGCAGCGGCCACCTGCGTCTGACTAGGCCCCCATCCCAACGCCTCCAACCCCCTTCGCGGCCACCCCCCCTTCTCAGGTAAGCAGTACACCTAGCTGCTGTTCTTGGCTCTCCCGCCACCACGCCCTCACCTGGATGGTTCCGCCAGACCCCGCAGGCCCCTTAGTCCGCCCCAGCCCTACCCAGCTGTCTACAAAGCGCATTCCTGGAAGGGCCCCTCCCTGGTCTGCCGGTGTGCTCTGCGCTCCTCCCCCAGCCCAGGTGCAGGGCGGCACTCTGAATCCCCTACCGTGCAGAGGGCATGTTCACCTCGGCCCTTGACTTCCCAGCAGGGCCTGGCATTGAGGGTGCCGCCCTGGGATATTGTGTGTGGCCTGAGGCTGCTGGAGCCAAGCACCGCAAACCAGGCGGCTTCAACAGAAACGTCTCTCCAGCCCTGCGCGGTGGCTCATGCCTAGAATCCCAGCACTTCGGGAGGCTGAGGCAGGCGGATCATCTGAGGTCAGGAGTAAGACACCAGCCTGGCCAACATGGTGAAACCCCAGTCTCTACTAAAACTACAAAAATAAGCCGGGTGTAGTGGCAGGCACCTGTAATCCCAGCTACTCAAGAGGCTAAGGCCGGAGAATCCCTTGAACTCGGGAGGTGGAGGTTGCAGTGAGCTGAGATGGCGTCACTGCACTCCAGCCTGGGTGACAGAGCAAAATTCTGTCTCAAAACAAAACAAAAAAAGAAGAAAGAAGGAAAGAAAGGAAGGAAGGAAGGAAGGAAGGAAGGAAGGAAGGAAGGAAGGAAGGAAAGAAAGGAAGGAAGGGAGAGAAAAAGAAAAGAAATGTCTCTACAAGGTCTGGAGGCCATGAGTCCAAGATCCAGGTGTAGGCAGGTGGGCTCCGTGGAGGGCCAGGAGGGAGCATCTGCCTCAGCCCCTCGCTGCAGCCTTTCACAAGGCCGTCCACCCACCCTACTCCAGTGTGGCCTCATCTTAACTAGGTTCTTCTGCAGTGACCCTAGTTCCAAATAATGAGGTCACATTCTGAGGTACTGGGGTCAGGACATCGACATATGAATGTGGGATGCACAATCCCACCCATAACAGGTATCGGTGGGAGAAGGAGGCGTGTGCAGGCTCTATGACCACCACCGGGAACCCTTCAGACTGCCCTCACCACACTGCTGGCAACCAGTCCTAGGAACGGGCTCCGCAGAGGTGAGTTTGCAGAGCCAGCATCCCAGGAGGTGGGGCCCGCATGGGTTTGATAAGTAAAAGCTGTCAGGCTGTCAGGGTCCATCTGGTCCGGGGACTCCCACCCTCCTGCCCTCCAGCAATGCCTGGGGGGATCTTTAAATGCAGGGCCCAGGGACCTACATAGCCAGCCTCTGTGGGGGCAGGGCTCAGGAATCTGTATTTCCAAAGTTTCCCTACGGAGTCTGCTGCATCTGTTGATGAGACATGTACATTTGGGGACCTGAAATCTAGGGGTCCCTACCCAGTGGATGGAGGGGACAATAGTGAACCCCAGCTGGCTAGAGGCAGAGCCAGGAGGAAGGCTGAGCCTCCTGGCCTCCATCTGTAGTTTCTGTGTGGGTGCATCCCCACGAGGCCGAGGCCCTGCTCCTTCACTGCTTCCTGACCCTCCACGCCTCCAGGCCACGCTTTGGCCATGTGCACCATGCACTCTGTGTCCCAGGGCACAGGCTCCCACCAGGACAGCTTCTCCCAGTCTGGCTCCAGGCACTGCGTGGCTTGTGGGAGCAGCAGCAGCTCCCACTGGACCCTGGAGGGCAGAGCTGTCCTGCCAGTACCCCACCTGTGTAATGGGCCTCAGTGTCCCAATCCAGGAGAGGGAGCTGGAGCAGGCCTGGTGCCTCCTCCTTCCCATAGGGAGACGGGGAACCTGTGCACAGGCTAGCTCTGTGGGGGCCAGTTCCATACTGTGCCGCACCCACTGGGCCCTCTGGGGCCTCAGGGTCTTGTCTGCAAAATGGGAATTGGGGAGGGGTGGAATGTCAGTAACTTACTTTCCCGTTCCTGCTTTTTGTGGATTTTTTCCATTAACATGTGTGGAACCCTTCTGGTGCTGGGGATGGCCCCTCGGAGCCCCCGTGCCTGGGAAACAAGCCTCTGTCATCACTCTGAGATCAGTGGTTTCTGTGACAGGTGTGTACAAAAGGTGCCACCACTCAGGAAGGCTGCCTGGAGGAAGGGGCATGTGAGAGAGGCCTTGTGTGATGAGCAGGAGTTCTTTGAGAGGAGCAACTCCTTCCCAACAGTAGCAGCACATTCGAAGCCCCGCAGTGCAGGGGAGCCCATGACTGCAGCCACGGGAGCCCCTGACCGACCACACACCCACCTAGGGCCGGGCACCCTGCCGAGTGCACAGGATGAAGTAGTTCCTAGAGCTGGGGAGGGGGCAGGGAACGGTCAGTTCCCAAGGATGTCAGACTCTGTCCCCAGGGCAAGGGGAGCAAACCTGCAGGTCCTTGCCTGAAAGGGTGTTTTGTTAGGGGCTGGCACCACCGGCCAGGAAGGGTGGTGGATCCCGGCCGGGTGGGGGTGGCAGGAAGGGTGCTCATTGGGGACACAAAGGGCAGGTTCCCAACTCCCCAGGTCAGTCACCTCTTTGCTTCAAGGAATGGCCTGCAGGTGACCCTGGGGGTCAGGGCCTCAAGGAGCAACCCACGGCAGCCTGGACGCTGCCTGCCCTGAGCGCTCTCTGCCCAGGTCTGGACAAGGACTCTGCCCATCCTGCACTTGCCAGCTGGCAGGTGGCCTGTGCCCCAGCCTCAGGCCTCATCTGCATTTGCAGATCACTGGCACCTTACAAGAATGATTCCCAGGGGAGATGAGCCCCGTCTCAGCCTCAGGTAAAGCACACCCTATATGCTATGAATCATGTGGCCGGTAACTGCACCTGTTACAAGTTGAATTGTGTGCCCCAGAAAGATATGCTCAGAGATGGGGCACGGTGGCTCACACCTGTAATCCCAAGGCTTTGAGAGTCCAATGCAGGAGGATCGTTTGTACCCAGGAGGTTGAGGCTGCAGTGAGCTGCGATGGTACCGTTGCACTCCAGCCTGGGCAGCAGAGCCATACCCTGTCTCAAATAAATATATATATATACACACACACACACATATATACACACACATACGTGTGTGCGCATAAAATAATAAACATATTTTATATATATACATATATATGTGTGTGTATGTGTGTATATATGTGTACATATATATGTATATATATGTGTACATATATATGTATATATATGTGTACATATATATATGTATATATATGTGTACATATATATGTATATATATGTGTACATATATATGTATATATATGTGTACATATATATATATATGTATATATATATATGAGACAAAGTCTTGCTCTGTCACCCAGGCTAGAGTGCAGTGGCACCATCTCAGCTCACTGCAACCTCTGCCTCCCAGGTTCAAGTGATTCTCCTGCCTCAGCCTCCCGAGTAGCTGGGACTACAGGCATGTGCCACTACGCCTGGCTAATTTTTGTATTTTCAGTAGAAACAGGGTTTCACCATGTTGGCTAGGCTGGTATTGAACTCCAGACCTCAGGTGATACACCTGTCTCGGCCTCCCAAAGTGCTGGGATTACAGGCATGAGCCACTGCTCCTGGCCAGGACAGGGCAGCTTTCTGGGAGCAGAGGCTGCAGCCCTCCCTCTACTGGACCTCAGTGAATCCTGGCTAGCGGGACCTTTGATGGGGGTTGTTGCAGCCGCCTGCAGGTCCTGGGGGAGGAAGTGGCCTGGAGGGCCGTGCGTGAATGGGCAGGTGACAGCCCTGGATGTGGGTAGCAGCATCCACCAGAGATGAGCAGGAGCACCCAGCCTGCCTCCCTGTGGTGCCGCCGTGGCCTGTTTACTTAGCCACACCTGGAGATAGGGAGGCAGAGGGCACCCTCTCAGAGAGCACTGGCAGCTGCTTCAGGTCATGCACACGGAGCTTTCGGCTGCACCTGGCTCATGGGACGGCCCCAGCCATAATCCCAGGTGACACTGATTATCAGCATCCTCATGCCCTGCCTGCATTCCGGTCACCCCAGGGGCACCAGGCCCCCACGGAGAGCTAAGCCAAATGCAGGGGCTGTCCTGGCCTCTGGAGGGGAGGCGGGGATGACTGAAGCCTGGAGAACACTGCCCAGCCTGCTCCCAAGGGTGACCACCTTGACTGTTTCCTCAAGACCCAGGGAGGAGCATCCCTTTGGTAGGCAGGTCATGGTGGGACAATGGCGGGCTTGAGAGCAGATGTTTCTGGAACCCCAGCTGCCCGCCCACTCGCTGAGTGACCTCGGACAAGCCTCTGGTCCTCCAGGAGCCTCAGCCTCCTCTCTGGATTGTCACTGCCTGGGGATTAAGTGAGGGAGCAGGAGCAGGACAGCAGGCACAGTGCGATCAGCAGGAGGGCATCTGAGGCGTTTGTTGAAGGCTTGGAAGAGCTGGCGGCACCTTGGGACCGGGAGGCAGGGCAGGCTTCTGCGCCACCATCCCCAAATCAGACTCTGTTCAGGTCTAGGAGGTACAGGGAATGCTGAACCATGGGGGTGCTGGGGATGGAGGGGCTGCCCAGGCAGGCGCTGGCAGCTGTGGCTACCCTCAGCCTCACTGGGGACTGTCCCAAGCACAAGAACCAGCTCAGAGGTGAGAGGGAGCCATTGTTCTCCAGGCTCTGCAGCGTAGGAGAATGTGTGTGTCACGAGGCCTACCCCGTGCCAAGGCCTCTCGGCGGCGCAGCCTGGGACAGAGAGGGGACGCTGAGCACCAGCTATGTCCCCTGCTGGCCCCGAAAGGCAATGAGTGGGCCCGAGAGAAGGACAGACAGGGTCAGAGCAGAGTCCGTGAATGACCCCGCAGGGCTTGGCCTGCATCCTGGAGTCAGCGGTTGACTGGGGAATCAGGTCTTTCCCCTGAAACATGCCATGAGGTCACCCTTATCCTGGAAGCCCCAGCTTTCCACCCCACAGTGGAGGACAGCTGCCCGAGGATCTCCACAAAGGTCCTGCCTGTAAGGGGTCCCCAGTCTAGATGGAAGCATGATTGGGAAAATCAAGCCCCTCACTTCTCTGGCCAGGAACTCCCAGTGGGCACAGCAGCCCCTGGGGCTGCTCTAGAGCCAGGCAGAAGGAAGGAGCCTGATTAGAAAGGGCAGGGGCTGTCACGAGGCGGCTTCAATCCACAGAAATGGACTGTCTCTCAGTCCTGGAGGCCAGAAGTCTGACATTGTCAGCATCACCAGGGCTGGTTTCTTCTGAGGGCTGTGAGGAAGGGTCTGCTCCAGGTGTCGCTCCTCGGTTTGTGTTGTAGATGGCCTTCTCCTTCCTGTGTCTCTTCACACTGTCTTCTCTACGTGAGGCTGTGTCCAAACTCCCCCCGACCCTTTTTATTTTTTTTGAGACAGTCTCTCTGTCACTCAGGCTGGAGTGCAGTGGTGTGATCCTGGCTCACTACAACCTCTGCCTCTCGGGTTCAAGCGATTCTCCTGTCTCAGCCTCCCGAGTAGCTGGGATTACAGGCGCCCACCACCAGGCCCAGCTAATTTTTGTATTTTTAGTAGAGACAGCGTTTCACCATGTTGGCCAGGCTGGTCTCGAACTCCTGATCTCAGGTGATCCACCCGCCTCTGCCTCCCAAAGTGCTGGGATTACAGGCGTGAGCCACCGCACCCAGCCTAAATTCCTCCTTTTTATAAGGTCACCAGTCATATAGGATTGGAAGCCCCCACCCCACCAGGACCTCATCTTAACAAATGACATCTGTGGACAGGGCATGGGGGCTCACGCCTATAATCGAGACCAATCTGGCCAATGTGGTGAAACATCGTTTCTACTAAAAACATAAAAATTAGCCGAGCGTGGTGGTGGACACCTGTAATCCCAGCTACTCAGGAGGCTGAGGCAGGAGAATCAATTGAACCTGGGAGGCAGAGGTTGCAGTGAGCCGAGATCGCACCATTGCACTCCAGCCTGGGCAACAAGAGCAAAACTCCATCTCAAACAAACAACAACAACAAAAAATGACGTCTGCAGTGACTCTTTTTCCAGATAAGGTCCCTTTCAGACCTTACTGGTACTAGGGGTTAGAACTGCCTCTTATCTTTCCAGGGGACACGCGTCAGCCCATGACACTGAGTGTGCCGTGACCCTCTCCCTGGCTCTGTTTACCCCAGGGTACTGGTCATTTTGAATGCGCTGCCTGCTTTATTATTTTTTTCACTGACACTCCACAGCTCCTCAAGGGGAGGCTTTAGTCTGTTGTGTCTACTACTGTTCTCCAGGCGCCTTACAAGTGCCTTGTCCTTGTACGTAGTTGGCACTCACTACCTATTTGTCAGATGAATGGGTGAATGGAAGGAGGAGAGGGCTGAGTGGGAAACGCTATGGGTCTTCCTTCCTGCCAGAACTGTCAACCAAAAGCAAACCTTAATCTCCAGAGATGCCCAGAAATGGGTGCCACCCTCCCAGACCCCAAAGTTGCAGAGAAGGGGCCCCTCTAGGATTCCAGTCTCACTCCCACGTGTTGTCTGTGCGGAAGACAGAGAGTGTTGGTGATTGACAGTGGATTGAAAGATGTAATGATTCCAACTGCAGCTGTTCTTCCAGACGTGGTGTCCTTATTGGAGCCAATCAACAGTTATGATTCAGCTATTGATCAGGCAGCCACACCCACCTCAATCCCAATAAACAGAGAACATCAGAAGCAGGGTGTTGTTATTTGGAGAAATTGGCAGTATACCTCCCCACTCAGGCCTCAGGGTCCTGCAAACTCGAATTCGCTCTGCCACAATTTCATCCACATCGACTTTTTTATTTTTTTTTGAGACAGAGTTTCACTCTTGTCGCCACGCTGGAGTGCAGTGGCGCCATCTCGGCTCACTGCAATCTCTGCCTCCAGGGTTCAAGCAATTCTCCTGCCTCAGCCTTCGGAGTAGCTGGGATTACAGGTGCACGCTACCACGCCCAGCTAATTTTTTTTTGTATTTTTGGTAGAGATGGGGCTTTACCATGTTGCCCAGGCTGGTCTCCAACCCGCCTCAGCCTCCCAAAGTGCTGGGATCACAGGTGCCTGCCACCACGCCCAGCTAATTTTTGTATTTTTAGTAGAGACGGGGTTTCACCATGTTGGTCAGGCTGGTCTCAAACTCCTGACCTCAAGATCCGCCCGCCTTGGCCTCCCCCAGTGCTGGGATCACAGGCGTCAGCCACCGCGCCCGGCCTCGTCCACACAGATTTTGATTGTCTCTTAGGATATCACATCGTATGAATGATGCCACGTTCACAGGCCCCGGAGCCGAGGACCTAGATACTCTAGAGGCTAAATAATACACGTGTGGCCGGGCGCGGTGGCTCACACCTGTAATCCCAGTACTTTGGGAGGCCGAGGTGGGCAGATCATGAGGTCAGGAGTTCGAGACCAGCCTGACCAACATGATGAAACTCTGTCTCTACTAAAAATACAAAAATTAGCCAGGCGTGGTGGTGCACGCCTGTAATCCCAGCTATGTGGGAGGCTGAGACAGGAGGATCCCTGGAGCCCAGGAGGCAGAGGCTGCAGTAAGCCGAGATTGTGCCACTGTACTCCAGCCTGGCAACAGAGCAAGACTCTGTCTAAAAAGAAAAAAAGAAAAAGAGAAAAAATATACATGTGCTTGCCAAGAGATATATCCCATGAACATTTAGGGATTTGGCAACATTTTGGGGATCTAATGATCTGAGAACATTCTTTTCAAAGTAAAGGATGGGCTGTTTCACCTCCAGCACCATGATACACCGATGGATGTGTCAATTAGACATTGTCTTTTCCTTCAAGTAGCAGAAATTCGGAAGAACGATGATTTAACCCATATTTCTTTCAAATAACATAAGCACCTTGGTAAGAGAATCAGGATTGTCGTGGAGGGTTCTGAGTTTCAGCAGGAACCCAGGTTCTTTCTGCCTTTCTGCTCTCCATCATCACTTCCTCATGCTCCAAGGTGGCTGCAAGAGCTCCAGCCATCATTTTTTTTGTCTATTCTGGTCAGGAAGCAGGAGACTGGGACAGGGCTGGGGTAGACAGGAAGGACAAAAAGGATTTCCTGGAAGCTATGCAATAATTTCACCTTACATCTCGTTGGCCACCTCGCCTACCTGGGAAGCTGGATAAAATAGTTTTTCCTGTGGTCATATTGCTCAGCATTCAATTACTAAGTAAAAAGAGGAGAAGGAAGGAGGAGGAAGAGGGGGAGAAGCAAAGAGAAGAAAAAGGAAATGGAAGTAGACGTGGGGCAGCTAACCTACCCTCTCTGACCAGTACTTACTGAATGTGCTGTTCTTAACTAATTAGCAAGAGACCCAAGAGTGCATGAAAGCTTTAAATGTGCCCCAGATTGAAAACAATGTTTAGCTGGAGCTGCAGTACAAGCAGTTCTGTCAGTTGCCACTTTTTTTTTTTTTGTCTCATTCTTGCTGCCCACACTAGAGTGCAATGTCATGGTCTTGGCTCACTGCAACCTCAACCTCCCAGGTTCAAGTGATTCTCCTGCCTCAGCCTCCCAAGTAGGTGGGATTACAGGTGCCTGCCACCATGCCCGGCTAATTTTTGTGTTTTTAGTAGAGATGGGGTTTCACCATGTTGGCCAGGCTGGTCACAAACTCCTGAGCTCAGGTAGTCCACCCACCTTGGCCTCCCAAAGTGCTGGGATTACAGGCATGAGCCACCGCACCCAGCCTTTTTCTTTTCTTTTCTTTTTTTGAGATGGAGCCTTCCTCTGTCACCCAGGCTGGAGTGCAGTGGTGTGATCTCAGCTCACTGCAGCCTCTTCCTCCTGGGTTCAAACGATTTTCCTGCCTCAGCCTCCTGAGTAGCTGGGATTACAGGTGCCCACCACCACGCCCGGCTAATTTTTGTATTTTTAGTAGACCATGTTGGCCAGGCTGGTCACGAACTCCTGACCTCAAGGGATCCACCCACCTCGGCCTCCTAATGTGCTGGGATGACAGACATGAGCCACTGCACCTGGCCACTTGTCACTTCTGACTCAACAGATCCAGTGGCACCCCATGTGCTGCTACATGGAGATGGTGGCAAGCTCTACTAGGAGGGTGAGCTAGGAGGGCCCCAGGGCTTTGGAGCAAAGCCCTATCCTCTTAAGAAATAAACATGATTCTTAGAGATGCACGTTCCGGCTTGCCACTGGGCTCCAGATCAGACAATATGTAACACATGAGATAGCACACATGTGATCTGGGCGGGACACACGAAGACATGCATGGGGTGCACTGGGCAGCATACCATCCTCAGGGGAGGAGGGCCGGGCCAAGGCAGGAGAGCTGCCCAAGCCAGGGGCCACACGCCCAGCATGCCCACCCACTCCCCCATGGCTCCTCACCTCCGCCTGCACCAGGGGCCTAATGAAGGATTTCTTAAAACAAGTTTGCTAATATCATTCCCATTCCACTAAAAAGGAAGCTGAGGCACAGGGACATTAAACAACCTGTCCAAGTCAGGCAGGCTGTCGCCAGGATTGCTGGCACCCAATGGGGCAGGAAGGAATGTGGATGGAACCTGGGGGGGCTGCCTGAAGCATCCCCTAGGACAACCACTTTCAGGGGAGCCATTACTGGAAGAGGCCAGCACCTAGGAGCAGTCAGGGCCACCAAGGGTTCCTTGTCCTCAGGAACGATGGGTTGGGTCACTCTGCAAGGTAAAGAGATGCAGCCAGCCGAGCGAGCGGTTCGTTAAAGCAAAGTGAGCATGAAGCAGGGAGAAGGAAGTCATCAGCCTTGGCCACACCAGTAAGGTAGCCTGTCCTCTCTGACCAGTGCTTACAGAATGTGCTGCTCTTAAGTAATTAGCAAGAGACCCAAGAGTGCGCAAAAGCTTTAAATGTGCCCCAGATTGAGAACAAGGTTTAGCTGGGGCTGCAGTACAAGCAGTTCTGTCACTTGTCACTTTTTTTTTTTTTTTTTTGAGACGGAGTCTGGCTCTTGTTGCCCAGGCTAGAGTGCAATGACACGGTCTCCGCTCACTGCAACCTCTGACTCAACAGTCAGACCTTGGTGACATGTGTCTGTCTTTTCTTCCTTCCCGAGATGCTGTGTGTTAAATGCGTGTTCCTCCTCTTTCCTTTGTCTTTCCTATTTTATCTCCGGTGGTTTTTGCTGGTTAAGTTTGCAATGTTCACCCACGAGCTTTACAACCAGGAAAGCGACGCAGCAAGAGTGGACGCCTCCCCGCCTCCTGGCGGTTGCTGATAAGCTGCGGGCTGGGCCCTGGAGGGAGTGGGGATTCACCTCTACAAGGCTCAGCTGCACTATGAGGGCAGTAAGGTGAGGTGTGGGCAGAACGGTGTTTGTACAAAGCAGCGAAATAGAAGGACTGTTGTGGGCCGTTTCGTTCTTCACCGTCTAAGCACCTTAACTTCCTGGAGAAACCCCTCCTTAGGAGGCCGGGTCTGCCTTGCATTGGAGAAGCTGCCAACGGCGGTGCAGGCAGACGCCCTCAGCTTCCCTGTCAGCAGCACCTGCCCAACTTGGAACGGAAAGCGGCATGCACGGCCCATGCGAGCAGCAGCAGCAGCAGCAGCAGCAGCGCTTGGCCGGCGGAGGCGGCATCTCCAGCACCAGCACTCAGGGATGCGGGAGGCTGGCGCCCTGTGGTTGCAGCAGTGACGCCTTTACTGTCCCAGTTCTGTGCTCACACATCAGGCAGGAAGAGGCTTGGCTGTGACCAGCAGAAATTCCAGTGCCGGGTCTGCATTTCCCGCACATCAAGAGCTCCGGAGAAGGGCAGCCCATGGCTGGTGCAGCCGCTTTTTGGAGTCATCTACGTCCCAAGCTCTTCCGGTCTTCTCGGTCCTTGTTTTCTGTCAATGCCTCCCACCAAGGCAGTCCGAATACCTGGTTCCCGCCCTCCAGGTATTCTGCCCGTGCAGAAACAGAAGTCAAACCGCCTCCCTGCGGAGGCGTCATTCTCTCATTCGGATGGGAAGCCTCCCTGGCCGACTTCTGTTCTGACTCCATTGACCATAACCACGTCACGCAGCCTCCTGCTGCTGCGGGGAGGTGGGGCGGGGGGGTCTGGGGTTGAAAGGTTTCGCCTGCTGGTCTCAACTGTGGGGCAAAGCCAGAGAGAAGGGACTAAGAACGGAGGCCACTGCGACTGGAGGCGTTCCCAGATGCATGGTCTTAGAAGTTCTCGAGCTTTCTCGGCAATGCCGTGAGCTACCCAGGATCTGTTATGAATTCCTTTTCACCTTAAGCCTTTCTCTTGATGGTAACTGAGAGTCCTGCCTGATACCTAAGCATTCTTGAGCCTGGAGAGAGGCCAGGTGGCAGGAGGGGACCTGGGGAGAGCGGGGAGGGGCCGCTTTCCCCGGCTGAATACAGGGCAGCAGGCGGGGCTGACCCTGGAGGGGGCGAGGTCAGCTGGCCTGATGCGGTCACTTGTCTGACAAGCATGGTGGAGTGACACAGCCACTGGGCTTCAGACAAGTGACCGCATCAGGCCAGCTGACCTCGCCCCCTCCAGGGTCAGCCCCGCCGGCCGCCCTGTATTCAGCCGGGGGAAGCAGTCCCTCCCCGCTCTCCCCCAGGTTCTGCGTTCTCCCTGTCCTGATTCTGTGCTCCTCCGAGCATCTTCCCCGGGGGAAGAATGGGGAATTCCTGTCACTCAGTGACAGGCAGTCACTGAGTAACTGCTGTGGGCCGGGCCCAGGACAGAGTGGCTAGGAGGTCAGATGCCCAGGGAACATGGGGACACCCAGGGGACATGGGGACACCCAGGGGCTCAAGGGGAGAGTCTGGGATGGGGGAGAGACAGCCAAGAGCGAGGCGATATACAGCCCACCGAGCGGGGACGGCGCAGGGAGCGAGGAGAGGGCCAAAGGTGGGAGAGGACAGCCGGTGGCGCAGGCGGACTGCCGGGGAGGGAGGGGGCAGCCAGGGTATGAGGGACAGTCCTGGAGCAAGGGGAGCGCCAAAGGCGGAAGGTAACCGTCCAGGGCGTGGGGGACAGCGCGGAGAGAGCCCAAGGGGGAAATTACAGCCGGGGTGTGGGGAGACAGTTCAGGTGCGCGGGGACAGCCCGTGGAGCCAGGAACACCTGGCGGCCAGGAAGCGCAGGGTGCGAGGCCGGGACTACGCGTCCCAGCAGGCGGCGCGCGGGCGCATCACTTCCGGCGGCGGCGGGCGGCGCGTGTGGGAGCGAGCGGGCGGGCCAGTGTTTACTTCCGGACACCGGGGCTGAGGCCGATCGCGTCGGGCAGCGGGCGCGGCGGCCCCGCGCAGCCATGGACTGGCTCATGGGGTGAGTCTGCGGCCGGGCCGGGCTCGGGCGGGCGCCGGGCGGGCGCCGGGCGGGGCGGTCGGAGCGCGAGTGAGTTGCGGGGCTCCGTGCGGGCACCGCCGCTCAAGGGCATCGGGCCCGGGCGGAGCGGGCGGAGCAGACGCGCCTGTCCTGGGCGGGCCGGGCCGGGGCGGGCGTCTCGGGGGCAGCCCGGTTCTGGTCCCGTCAGAGGCCTGGCCCGGCCGCCCCGCGCGCCCGGCTGTCGGTGGGCCGGGGCCTCGCAGCTTTCCCTGCCCGCTCCGCTCCCTGCGCGGGGCTCGCTTCTGGACTAAGTAACTTGAACACCGGTAGAGACAAGTTCCTTAAGAAAAAGGAAAAAGAAGTGAAAGACCCCAGTTTCCTGAGATACTCGCGGGGCTGTGGCCAAGGAGGGGAGCAGGACTGGGTGTTGCGGGCTGCGGACCCGCGGAGGGTCCCGGCGAGGTGCAGATCTTGCTGCGGTCCGCGGGCGGCCGGGGCAGGAGGGTGGAGTAGGAAGGAAGCCGGAGAAACTGCTGGCTCTTAGCTGGGGAGCCGCGGCCGCCTTCCCCTCCCATCCGCTTCTGTGTTTAGCTTGCTGGAAACCGGAGAAGCGGTATAGCAGCTAAAGCGTCGCCGCTTTGCCCGCAGCAGTTATTCTGGCTATAGTGATTTAAAAAAAAACAAAACTTTTTTCCTTTGGAAGAGCAATAAGGACAGGCATTTTCACCCGACAGCGTGGTCCTTGCGCATCTCTGCCTGTCCCTGTAGCTACCCCTATAGCGCCTGTCCAGAGTCCGCTTACTCATTCCAGGGGCCTGGGGTGGGAGTGGGGAGCCGTTGCTCTTGGTTTTGGCCGGTGGAAGGACTTGTGTAGACACCGAAGTTCAGAAAGTGGAGTGAAAGGCTTGATGGACATTTTGTTTCAGTGTCTCTCAGGCCCTTGGGAGTCGAAGGGGCGGCGTGGGGGCGCGGGGTCGGGGGGTTGTTGTCAGGATAACCAAGGAGAGGAATTAGAACCGTTCTTGGCATCGCATTGCATGGACTTCAGTGACGGGGAGAGCAGGGAAGACAAGCAGAATGGGATGAATCAAGAGACGGCAGAAGTGCCCAGTGCAGCGGGGATCGGCCTGGAGCCAGAGTGTAGGGGTCAGGGCAGCTGTACAGATGGCTCGGGGGACCAACCATGGGGTGGGAGGGCTCATGTCTTTTTTTTTTTTTTTGAGACAGAGTTTCACTGTGTCGTCCAGGCTGGAGTGCAGTGGCGTGATCTCGGCTCACTGCAACCTCTGCCTCCTGGGTTCAAGCAGTTACCTGCCTCAGCCTCCTGAGTAGCTGGGATTACAGGCTTCCGCCACCATGCCCGCCTAATTTTTGTATTTTTAGTGGAGATGGGGTTTCAAGGCCAGGTTGGTCTTGAACTCCTGACCTCCTGATCCGCCCGCCTCAGCCTCCCAAAGTGCTGGGATTACAGGTGTGAGCCACTGCGCCCGGCCGGCTCATGGCTTCTTGAAGAGGCAACACTGCTGTTCCAGCCCTGCCGCTTATTAGCTGTGTGAGTGGTCACTTCACCTCTTTCTTTAAATCACCTGCTTTAAAAAAATCACCCCTAAGGCGGAAACTGTACGACTTGCAGTGCATGGTTGTGGAGGGAGAGACCAAGGTAAAGGCTTAGCCCAGTGCTTGGCGTGTGGTAAATGTTGGCTACTGTTAGTGTGGAGAGGTGTTTCATGCAAGGCCTCTGAAACCCACGGACACTGAGAGTTGAGGCCGCACAGCTGTGTTTGCTTTATTCCGAATCATAGGCTCTTGCTTGCTTTCTGCATTTACTGGGAGGGACTGCATTGGAAGCACCCAGGCCTCGGAGTGGGAAGTAGACTCTTGAGCCGGTGAGTTGAACCCACAGGGATTCATGTCAGCGGGACCAGCACAGTCAGCCGGGTTCCCAAGGAGGCAGCTGAGTGCGTTTTGTGAATGTGTGATTATTACCTGTGTACATTCATAAGTAGCAGGTACTTTGTGCCTGGAAGCTGACCAGCAGTTGGTCTTTTTAAACTCACTGAGGTCTATGCTTTGTGGATTTTGCTGTCATCATTGTGAATATTCAGAAATTAACTAATACTAGCTTCCGGGGGACTGATTCTTGTTTTTGTTTTGTTTTGTTTTTTTGAGATGGAGTCTCGCTCTGTTGCTCAGGCCAGAGTGCAGTGGCATGTTCTCGGCTCACCACAACCTCCGCCTTCTGGGTTCAAGTGATTCTCCTGCCTCAGTCTCTCAAGTAGCTGGTATTACAGGCACGTGCCACCAGCCCAGCTAATTTTTGTGTTTTTAGTAGAGATGGGGTTTCACTGTATTGGCCAGGCTGGTCTCAAACTCCTGACCTCAAGCGATCCACCTGCCTTGGCCTCTTAAAGTGCGGGGATTATGGGCATGAGCCACCACGACCAGCCTGGGGGACAGATTCTTGTGACCCTTGTTAAGACTTTGGTAACCAAGTAATCCTCCAGGGAAGGATGGTGGTACACTCATCTCATGGGCCCCAGGCTGGGTCTGGGTGCCAGGGGAAGGCTGGTGAGGACCTTGGAGCTGCTGCCTCAGAGGGCCCTGGCCAGGGAAGAGGTGTTTGCCGTTGCCTGGCTGTAAAAGTGGGCAGTTCCAAGAGGGCAGTGAGATTTTCAAGTGGGATTAGCATGGAGTGCAGTTATCTTTGCATATGTGGTTTCAAATCTATTGGACGTTGTGAATCATGAATTCTTTAACAATTCCTTAAATATATGCTTCCCCCCCTCCTTTTTTTTTTTTTTTTTTTTTTTTTGAGACGGAGTCTTGCTCAGCCGCCCAGGCTGGAGTGCAGTAGCGCGATCTTGGCTGGCTCACTGCAACACTGTTTCCCGGGTTCAAGTGATTCTCCCCTCTCAGCCTCCTGAGTCGCTGGGATTACAGGCGCCTGCCACCACACCCGGCTAATTTTTTTGTGTTTTAGTAGAGATGGGGTTTCACCATGTTGGCCAGGCTGGTCTTAAACTCCTGACCTCAGGTGATCCGCCTACCTTGGCCTCCCAATGTGCTAGGATTACAGGCGTGAGCCACCGCGCCTGGCTGTGCTTCCTGTTTTAAGAGGTACATTTCAGTGGTCAAGTACTGCTTTTCCTCCAGAGCCTGTTTTAAGCTGGTATACAAGGATGCAGGGCAGAGAGGGCCCAGGGACTACTCTGTCTCTCCTTCCCTCTGCTCATTTCACATGTTTATTGAGCATCTACTATAAAAATAAGTTGTAAAAGCTGAAGAGTGAGCGAGCCGCAGGGACCCACAGGTCTCTCTCATTCTGGTCCACTGCTCACTTAATCAGGCTCTGCCACTGGAGAGGGGTCAGCGGTGAGTGAAGAAGCTTGCTCCTATCTCAGCAGCTTTTGTGTGGTCATTGCCAGCGCTTTCGTTGGCCATTAATCCTTCAACTAGCTGTCAGTCTGGGATTGGGGAAATGTGTTATTTTTGACTATTTCTTGATATTTTTAATTAATTCAAAGCACTCACTGTCAGCCAAGTAGTTAGTTTGGAATACAGGTCTCTTATGTTTTAAAAGTTTTTGTTTAAAGAAAGGATTTCTTTGAATTAGTTCATCTCAGATGACAAAGTATGGACTTGACAGTAGCAGCAAACAGTGCCTTTGCCTGCCGTGTTCTCTTCTGATCACCGGAAGAGTGTTCTGTGGATGTGCAAGTGAAAAGCCACGTCTTCCTTGTCACTGGGAGAAGAGCTAAGAGCCTGGCCTGCTGAGCATTCTAGCAGCCTTATCATCAGCACTCCTAGCCGCTCCTGAGGAACGGGGGCCCTGCAGGGAAACCTGCTCGGGAAACCGGAACAGAGCCCAGCACGTCAGGACTGGTGATGATGAGCGTGGCTGGGGCTTTTCCGGAGAAGGTTTGCAGGCATGGCTCTCCACCATCTCTTTCTCGTAGGTTTCCTTTGCTTGGCATTGCTTTGAGTTTGCTGGTGAAGTAGCTGTAAAGGTAAACTTTTTTTTCTCTCTTTCTTCCTTTTACAAAGAGTAATTTGTAACTTGAAAGCGGTTTCCACTTTTTGTATACAAGCTCTGTTCCATTCTGGGCAGCCAGTGACAGGATGTCATCCCGCGCCACTGAGTTGTAGGCAGGTGGAGAGGAGAAGCTTGAGCTGCGGTGGTTTCTGTGGAGGCTAGGGAAGGGAGGAACTCTACCACACACTGTTTGGAGTTTAGGAGAAACTTTTGTCTTGTCTTCAACTGACAACAGGCATTTGTGAAGAGGTGTGTGTGCAGTCAGTGTTACCCAACGGAACGCACAGCCCAGGAGCAGCTGAGCATCTGGGAATACAGGAGAGGAAACACACTTCCTCCCCTCCCGACTGATGGGAATGTAGCCGCCCTCCTGCTGGCCCTGCACAGGGCCCAGTGTGGTGGAGTTTGTGGGGAAAGGCCCCTCTCCTCCAGGCACCTTCTCTGGCTGGCCACAGCCAGGGCAAGGGGGCACGTATCTCAGGCACCCTTCCTTGGGGCTCTCCTGGCTCCTTCTGAGGCCGCACGGTGCCTTGACACCAGTGCCCTGGTTACTCTCCAAGCAGCAGGTGAACTGTGGGTTAGCGGGCTCGGGCTGTGGCACCACAGTGCTGGTGATTGAATACAGACTGCAGGTGAATGGGGAGGGCCTCTCTGGGGCCACTGGCCTGTGCTTACTGACTCAGCTCTGATTGAAGACAGACTGCAGGTGAGTGGGGAGGGCCTCTTTGGGGCTGCTAGCTTGTGCTTACTAACTTGGCTCTCCCAGCTGCCTTCAGGGGTCCTCCTCTCTGACCGAGATAAAATCTCGTGAGTGTGTGTCTCTGCAGGAATGTGAATGGAGTGATGATGACCTTGTTTTTCTTCTTTCTTTTCTTTGCCGCATGGGAGGATGTTACTGGTGGTTGACAATTGATTCTGATTATGAGGACACCCAGGCTGAACTTGCTTGAATCTCTAGAGTTCTTTTAACAGCCTCATTGAGGTATAATTTACATACCATAAAGTTAACTTAAGTTTGCAATTAAATAATTTTTGGTAAAATTACAGGGCTGAGTAACCATCACCACAGTTTAATTTGAGAACTTTGCTATCATGCCCCAGAGAAGCCTCATGTCCACTGGCACTGCTCCCCATCCCCACCTCCAGCCCCGAGGCGGCCACCAGTCTCCCGCCATCTGTGTGGGTGAGCTGAATCATGCAAATGGAATCCCAGTACACGGGCTGTGTGCCTGTCCTATGCGGCGCAGTGTTGCGAACGTCCATCCATGGCGTTGCGTGTGTCTGCAGCTCCGTCCTCTTCATCACCAAGTGCAATTCCGTCCTGGGGAGATGTGCATCTGCCACTCTCCTTCCACCACTGATCCGCGGTTTGTGACTGTGACTTTTAGGACAGTGAGCTGGGCCTGTTCCTCAGCCGGGGGCCCCAGATTCCTGAGTTCATGGGCTGCCGTGTACCAGGCTCTGTGCTGGGGCGGAGGTCCAGAGATGGAGACACAGCCATTCCCGCTTTCCTAGAGCTGTCAGGCTGGTAGAGAAGGGCCCCAGGCAGCAGGAGAATTGAGGAGTGGGTGAGTGCGGCCAAAAGCAGGGGGCTCGGTTAGAGCAGGTGTGAAGGGCTTTTCCAAGAGGGAAGGAGGAAGGAGGTGGCCCAGGAAGAAGCAGCAGCACATGCGGAGGTGTGAGCAGAGAAGCCGGCTGGCCCAGGTCTGCTGTATCTCCAGCGGGCAGCCCTGGAAGGTCTGGTTTCAGGAATAGCCTCTTTCCATCAGGGCTCCACCAGGGCACTCTTAGGCCTGGGTTTCAGAGGTGTTTGCCTAGGGTGGTGTTGCATTCAGAGTCCTCTTCTTTAAAAAAAAGTTTTCCATCATCCCTCCCGTTTCCAAATTAACCTTAAAAAGAGCAGTGGTCGGCCAGGTGCAGTGGCTCACGCCTGTAGTCTCAGCAGTTTGGGAGGCCGAGGCGGGCGGATCACGAGGTCGGGAGGTTGAGACCATCCTGGCTAACACGGTGAAACCCCGTCTCTACTAAAAATACAAAAAATTAGCCGGTCGTGGTGGCGCGTGCCTGTAATCCCAGCTGCTCGGAAGGCTGAGGCAGGAAAGTCACTTGAACCCGGGACGTGGAGGTTGCAGTAAGTGGGGATGGCGCCACTGCACTCCAGTCTGGGTGACAGAGTGAGGCTCCATCTCAAAAAAAAAAAAAAAAGCAGTGGTCGTGGATACATGGAGCCCTTTTTAGAATGAGCCTCCCCGTAAACCCCTAGCGACACCCCTCCCATTTCTCCTGCTCGGACTGACTACTAGGAACCCTTGCACACGTGTCCTTGAAGCTGGGGGTGAGCCCACCAGGGGAGCTGCAGACGGCCTCCCCTGGTCGGGGGCTGGTAGACAGCAGGGCTGCGTTTCTCATCACGAGTGTATCTGAGACAGCGCAGCCCCCACCTTTGCCACCACCAAGTGCCACCCTTGTGTCCTGGCTCATGAGGGCCTCTTCCCAGCCCTGGGAAAGCCAGCCACCCTAGGGGTCTGCCTGCCAAGTGCTGCTGTCAGATCGAGCAGGGGCTTGGTGTACCACCAGACCCCCTCTCCAGAGGAAGCTGTGGTCTCTGCTGCGGTCATCCGGTACGGGAGGAGGGGTGTTGAGGCCACTGTGAGGGAGGACCCCTGTGCCATGCCCCTGTCACCCCAGTGTTTCTCCTTTGTCCACACAGCGGTCTGGGTTAGAAACACCAGGGCCCACTGCAACTTTTGTTAGGGCCACTTAGTGCTGGTTGGGAGCCACAGGGCCGTGGCCTTTGTTTCTCCGTGGTGATTACTGCTTGTGCAGCCTCCTGCCAGTGCTAGACCTGTCTGGAAGGGAAGGGCGTGTGCTGTTCCCGTCTGTCTTTGGCCAGAAGAGCCTCCCATTCTTTGCCTTCACCATGTTTGTTTTTTTCTGCACAGGATTTCTCCTGGCTGGGGCACACCCATTGGTGTTCAGTGGAAGTAGAAACAATTGGAACAAACAAAATGTGGAAGCTTAAAGAGAAAAGAAGGAGATGGTGGGCAGGGCTTCCAGGCCACGTGTGATCTGTGGCACTGCTTGGCCTGTGGACTGTGGCCACAGTCGCGTTGCTGTCCCTGGCTCCCTTCTCTTTGAAGGTCTCCTTTGCCAGCGCACACGGCTCCCTGGGCTGGAATGTCTGTTCATTCATCCCTGCAGTTGTTTGCGGATGTCCCGGGGCTAACGTGAGTTAGTTAATGTGAGTGAGTTAAGTGCCGCAGCTCCTGTTTTTCGCCCTGCGTGGTGGTGGTTTTGGTCTGTGTCATCGAGCATTTCGCTGTGGTGGGCGGGGAGGCAAAGAGCTCCCACAAAGGTATGCAGCTTTTCCCTGCAGAAAGCAGGCAAGCTGGAGGGTTGGAAAGCATGGAGGCACCATGCTGTTTCCCTTTTGCCCGTGGCCTTTGCGGGTTGGGAGACTTTTCTTCCAAGCACCCTTTCAGCAGCGCCTTTTCCCCTCCAGACATGGTGGCTGTGCAGGCTGTGGGCTGGCAGACCCTATCCCCACAGCAATGCAATCTCAGGAGCCCAGGTGGGGCTGTTGTCTCGGGGTTTGGCCTGCACCGTCTACGGAAGCTCCTAACTCCTGCTTTGCTGGGACTTGTCCTCAGCCCATGGAAAGGCCTGATGGTGCCAGGTGGCCCTGAGGAGCCAGATGCCTGAGCCTGGGGCCAGGCCTGGGCGTGAGCCCAGGAGCATAAAATTAGCTCCGGCGTGGGTTGAAAGCTGCTGGCGTGAGCATGGCTTGTCTGTGTTGAGTTTGTCTTGCACAGCCCTGGCCTCTCCCCACAGCCTGCGGCCAGCCCTCTACATGGGCGGCCGCTCTGGGTTCCTCCTCCCGGCACATCTGCCCTTCTGCTGCGTGCCCTGTTCTTTGTGCCACATGTGACAGGACCATTTGTCATAGCAGTGGTGTCATGAAATACAAGAGTGTGGGCCTGAGAATCTGGGTTGAGTCAGGTTCCTGTTGGAGGCCTGCATGCGCGCAGCCTGCTCTGAGTGCTCCGGACACGCGTGAACAGAGGCAACAGGAGCCACCCCTGGGCAGCTTCCCCACTGCCGAGGGGGACGGGAGTAAGGAGGTGTGGGATGGGGTGCCTGGAGGGGGTGCGTGGGAGAGCTGTTTGAATAGGAGCTCTAGAAGGCCTCTTTGAGAAGGTGCTGTTGAGCTGAGACCTGCGGAGGTGAGGGAGGGGACTCGCCATGCAGGCCTATGGAGGGAGCCCTGGCTCCCTGGTGCTTTGTCTCAGAAGGGCTGCCTTTGCCTCCTCCCCCTCATGGTTCCAGGGACACGTGGGTTTTTATTTAATATTTTTCAGTCGATTGTCGTCTTTAATAATATTTTGATGAATGGGCTGTGTCAAATTTAGCCAGCAGGAGCGCATGTGACTCAGCTCCCGTATCAGTTGAATAGACGAAGGGGCAGGGAGGGAAGCCTCTGTGAGCAGGAACTGGTGAGCCTGGCTGTGTATCACCTGGATAACCTCTGAGCTGAAGAGCTGTGCCAGCAAAGCCCTTGAGCTCATGTGGGCATGGGGGACAGTCTGAGGACAGGAGGAACAGCAAGGAGACCTCAGGCTGCGCTCAGGAGGCTTCGGTGGCAGGTCAGATTGCTCTTACAATTTGGCAACCATCTTATGAATATTGTGGGTTAAAAGAAATAATCAGTGTCACCGGTAGCCAAGTTTTTAATGTTAAAAAAGATGACAATATAGAATAAAATGAACCCCTGCAGGGTTCCGTGGGGAGTATTACCATGAGAGCATCATTCTGTGCGTAGGCTGTGCTCCCTGCCAGCGGTGGGCTTCCCAGCAGGCGGCCTTGGCTCTGCGTGTGACATGCTCAGCCTGCAGCACCGTGTGCCCTCCTGAGCAGCTCTGCTCTGGTGGATGCTCTCAGCAGAAAACACACAACTTCGTGGTCCCCTCTTCTGCCCCTGGGTGGGCCAGGGTGCGGGTGTGCATCCCATGCCCAGGACTGCCAGGCAGGCCGCATGGTCAGCCACCAGGGTCAGGTGTCAGGCGCTGCTCCAGACGCGTGCGTCTCTGATCTTGGGCATGGCTCAGCAGCCTCCGGCTTGGCCGTGGGTGGTTCCTGCTCACCTGTTTCTGAGTGACCAACCCTGAAACTTCTGGGCCTAACATGAGGCCTCATCACCTTTCCCGCATCTGTGGGCTGGTGGGTGGGGCTCTGGCCCCACAGGTTATTCCTGCACTGCCACCCGTGGTGGCTGGGCTGGCAGCCCTCAGGGGCCTTGCTGTCATGGGTGTCTGCTGGGGTGCCACAGTTTCCCCCACATGGATCTCTCCAGGCAGAGTTTTATATCCTCACCCTAGAGCAGAGTTTTTGGACTTCTTGCTCTCAGGACCCCTTAAAGTCCTTGTTGAGGCTGGGCATGGTGGCTTCTGCCTGTAATCCCAGCACTTTGGGAGGCCAAGGTGGGAGGATCACTTGAGACTGGGAGTTCAGGACCAGCCTGAGCAACATAGGGAAACCCCATCTGTACAAAAAAGTAAAAAGAATTAGCCAGATGTGATGGTGTATGCCTCTAGTTCCAGTTGTTTGGGAGGCTGAGGCGGGAGGATTGCTTGAACCCAAGAGGCTGAGGCTGCGGTGAGCTCTGCACCGCTGCACTCCAGTCTCAGTGATAGTGAGACCCTGCCTCTAAAATTAAAAAAAAAGTCCTTATTGAGTTTACATGATGGAGCTATGAATATTCATCTTTTAGAAATTAAAATTGAGAATGTAAAACAACTTTAATTCATTTAGAAATAATTAAAAACCCAGTATATCTTAACATAAGTAATATTTTTAAAATTAAAAAAAAAACCTATTATCTTCTAGAGTCAAATAAATAGAGTGGCTTTACTTTTTGCAAATCTCAAGAGCTGGATCTGTCAGGTTCTGTGTTTATCCTGCTGTAATTTTACAGGCCAGGTGGCTTCCACAAGGCTTTGGCACATGGCACCTTTGTGGTACTGTAAAGACAGTGCTAACCTCATGGTCCCAGACCACACTTTGGGCTCTAGGACTCCCCACGTGGCCTCTCTTTGCCTCTGCCGGGACGGCCTTCATCCCAGGAGAGCCATCATGAAAATGGCTGGAAGACAATACATCCTTTCAGCCACCTTCTGTTGGTCAGGGAGTCACGGAGCCACCTGGATCTGGGGGTGGGAGTGGTTAAGAGTGGACAGCCTGCCTCTGGATGGAGGAGGGCTCTAGGAGGCCCTGGTCCTCCTGCCTCCTTCAGGAGGCCCTGGCTGGTCACCTCAGAGACCAAGGCCTTTTCTCTCTCCCTCTAACTTCTGGGCAGGGCTCGGCCCTCCTCACGGGCTACCTTCCTCTTCCTGCCATTTAGTTTTCCTCCCAGGGCGTGCAGCCCGGCACTACTGTGGGCCATGGGGTTGTGCAGGTGGGGCAGGTGCTGTCTCCGGGTACCACCGAGGGCTGCCGAGGCAGAGCCAACACTGGACAGCCCGCGTTTCCATTGCTGAGCTTTCATGGTGCCCGCTCAGGTGAGCGTCGGCCTGTGCAGGCCATGGCCCAACGTGTTCTGTGGCTTCACCCAAGCTTTCAGCTTGATTCAGTCCAGTGTCACTGTGACAGGGCTTCAGTGTGGCCCGGGAGACGCCTCTAGGGAGAGGCTGCTCAGGCAGCCCCTCGTTTAGGAAGAGTTCCTGAGCCCTAGTCGCCGGTCTGAGGGGGTGTCGGTACTCAGTGCTGGCCTGGACTGTCTTGGGAGGTATGGGGAGCACACCCCGGAACCCACCGAGCCACACTGCCTGGGACTTACCAAGCAGCAAGCTGGCCCTAGCAAAAATGGCAGAAATCGTATAAAACAGGCTACGAGCAGATAAGCTGCTCCTGTGTGGCTGTGTCCGCGGTGTTTTCAGAAGCCGCTGTTTGTGGGCTTTTGTCCTTTCTCGTGTTTGGTCAGGCTTCTCTGTGGAGGCACTGCACGCCCCTTCACCAGACGTCTCTCTGCACTGGCAGTGGTCTTACCAGCCCTGGGTGGGTTCCTTGGCTACTCAGCAAGACAGACCCCACAGGGCTTCCCAAGTGCCATTCTCTGACTCAGCAAACGGGACCTCAGCATGGGCCCAGTGGTCTCCAACAGGGAAGGAAAGGTGCATGGGAGGTGAGGTTTACTGAGCCGGGTTTCTGGCCCCACAGGGTGGGTAGAGGGAACCGCGGGCAGGGACAGCGGGACCCTTCCCTGTCACCGCAGCTCCCTCTGGGTTGATGCTTTTGTAACAGTGGGTAGCGCTGGCTGGTGGAGTCCAGGAGTGGTGCTGAGGGTGGGGCTGACCCGCACCTGCCTCTGGCTCCGCAGGGCCTGGCCTCAGGTTGTTGTGCTCAGCAGCCATTCATCTTCCCAGCACCCATTGGACCCTGCTGGTGTCCTATGTGCCTTGTCCTGCGGGGGTGGGGGGACCTTAGGAGGAAGGACACATCCCTGCTCACCTGGGACTTGGTGTTACATGTCCATTGTAGAGACACAAAATACAGGAAAAAAAACCCAGAAAATCAAAAGCAAATCCTCCTACCACCCAGCGATAGTCTGTACTTAACATTAAAACCAGCCTCACTCTGTAGTGGGACTCTTGCTACCCAGGGGAGTTGTCCACTGCTCCCCTGCCGGTGGGAATGGGGACGTTCCCAGGTTGTGTGATGCTTCCCAAGTCCCTGGGAAGGGAGCGTGGTGCCAGTGCTGGTGTTTCCACAGGTCGGTGCCCGCCACTTGTGTTGGTCTTTTCTGAAGAAGATCTTTGCCACGTTGACAGGCAGAGAGCGGTGCCAAGGTTTAGTCCGTGTTTACTGCAGGAGGGCTGATATGGCCGATGCTTCTATGCACGGTGGGCCATGCCATTATCTGCTTGGTCTTTGCCTACTTTGTCTTGAACTGGTCCAGTTTTCTTATGACTGGCATGGGTTCTCTTTAAGGGTATTAATCTTGAGTGTTAAGATTTTAGAGCTTGTTCTTAAAGAGAAAAGTAAAAGCCCAGGCGGAAACGATGGGAAGTGCTGGAGCCCGAGGCAGTGTCTCCACGACTCCCCTGGCCTGCAGAGGGGCAGAGGACAGGTACACTGCGAGCCAGCCCAGAGGGCCAGGGAGAGCCGGGGGCCGGGGGAGCTGGGGGCCAGGGGGCAGCCTGGGAGGGCGAGTGCCAGGAAGCCTTGGGCACCTGCTGGCCCTGGGCCCGCTCCTGCCCTTGGCTGGCGCCTGAGGGATGCTCTTCTTTTCACCATCCCTTACTTTTTATTTTTTATTTTATTTTATTTTTTTTTTTGAGACGGAGTCTCACTCTGTTGCCCAGGCTGGAGTGCAGTGGTGCGATCTCAGCTCACTGCAACCTCTGCCTCCTGGCTCCTGCCTCAGCCTCCCCAGTAGCTGGGATTACAGGCGCCCGCCACCACAACTGGCTTTTTTTTTTTTTTTCTTTTTGTATTTTTAGTAGAGACGGGATTTCACCAGGTTGGTCAGGCTGGTCTTGAACTCCTGACCTCGTGATCCACCCGCCTCGGCCTCCCAAAGTGCTGGGATTATAGGCGTGAGCCACCATGCCAGGCCTGTCCCTTACTTTCTTTTACAGCCTCCCACCTGCCTCCTTTCTGAGTGGCTGGAGCTGTGCGCTGGTTAGTTCCTCTGTCAGGAAGAAATCCAGGCCACGCTGGCACCTGACACCACTGACCTGTTCAGGACTTTGGTATGGCCTGGTACAGGTTGGGACCACGTTTAGTCACTGAGGCTCCTCAGAGCATGGAGACGGCAGTGGGCACGGGGCCACGCAGAGGGCTTAGGGCCATGTTTCTCACCGTCTCTCAAGAAACACTAGTCCTCCCAGACAACCAGGTGAATTCAGGAAGCCCCAGGTAAAGTCTGAGGCCCTCTTGGAAGCTCAGTGGATGGCAGTAGTTACAGGCTCTGAGCAAGGGAACCGTGGTTGACTGTGTGACCTGTAGTTGCCACTGCCCGGCCGCTGCCACCCGCTGTTCCCACCCAATTCCTACTCCCGTTGCCCGCCCTCAGCCTGTTCTTAGCTGTCAGAGGGGATGGTGGAACGGGAGCAGCCAAGAGAATTTAAAGCCGCCGATGGTCCACAGGCACCACCCCCAGTGCCGACGGGGGTGCAGGCCTGGTGTCTGCCCGGCTGTGCTCCAGAGGTGATTTTACTCCCCACCGGGGAGTCGGGTATTATGCCCTCAGAGATCCTCTTTTCATGCCACGGGGCCTCTGGGATGTGTGGCCTGAGACTGCCTGGGGCTGGTGGGTAGCTGTGTGGCGGGTGTGCAGTTGAGGCTTGCTGCTTCCTTGAGGGCAGAGTGGGCACCTTCATTTCCCAAAGCTGGCTATCTCTCCCTTCGTGACAGCAGCGTTTTCTGCTGAACAGTTTCCTGTGTCCTCCTTGCCTTCATAAATGTGTAACAAATACTGCTTCAGGGCAGGCTTCATCTTCTCCACAGACCCACACGTACCCCTGCTGTACCTGGCGTGCCCAGGGCAGGGAGCAGGCGCTGGATGGGTCTGACCACCCAGGGTATGCCTCTGCCTGGCCAGCTGGCTGCCTCCTGGACACCTGGACGCAGAGCTTTCTGAGATGAGCTCTGCGTTGGGATGCACAGAAGGGATTTGCTTCCTCTCGTGCTTGGGGTCTTGGGAATGCTTTTTTTTTTTTCCCCTGAGACAGGGTCTTGCTCTGTCATCCAGGCTGGAGTGCAGTGGCATAATCATGGCTCACTGTAACCTCCGCCTGCCTCCCAGGTTCAAACGATTCCCATGCCTCAGCCTGCTGAGTAGCTGGGATTATAGGCACATGCCACCAGGCCAGTGTAATTTTTTTTTTTTTTGGATGGAGTTTTGCTCTTGTTGCCCAGGCTGGAGTGCTGTGTCGCGATCTCGGCTCACTGCAGTCTCCGCCTCCCGAATTCAAGCGATTCTCCTGTCTCAGCCTCCCTAGTAGCTGGGATTACAGGCGTACTCCACACCTAGCTAATTTTTGTATTTTTAGTGGAGACAGGATTTCGCCATGTTGGCCAGGCTGGTCTCGAACTCCTGACCTCAGGTGATCCGCCCGCCTTGGCCTCCCAAAGTGCTGGGATTACAGGTGTGAGACACCCGCGCCTGGCCAAATTTTTCTATTTTTAGTAGAGATGGGTTTTCACTGTGTTGGCCAGGCTGGTCTTGAACTCCTGGCCTCAAGCAGTCTGCCCACCTTGGCCTCCCACAGTGCTGGGATCACAGGCGTGAGCCACTGTGCCCTGCCTTGGGAGTGCTTTTTGACATTCACTCCTGCACTGTGAGTGTGGAGACCCAGGGGCTTTTCTGGAGGTGGCCACTGTCAGGAGGTTTAGAAACCCTTTTTCATTAAAACCTTTATCTTCAAGTACATTCTGTTATTCCTGCTGGGAAGGCCTCCTACCTTTTTGGCTGAAGAAGTGCTGGGCCAAGCTGAATTGTGTGAGGGTTCCTGGGTATTTATAATTCATGTGAAAATAAAAGTGTTGTTTTCTGTGACCCCGTGCCTCTCCGAGGCCCTTACTCCAAGGCAGACCGAAGGCAGCTCTGTGCTGACGACGCAGGATCCTGGCCCACAGTTGTCCTCAGAGACTTCTTGGTAGGAGTGGTGGTGTCTCGGGTGCTCTCCTGCCCAGCAGTCTTCCCTCCTTTGCTGTCTTCTCCTTGTTGGACACACAGGTTCTAAGTAGCAGCATTTGTGGTTTGTCGGCTCCCGAGCTCTTCAGTGTCCCCCGGAGTGCAGCAGGTCCCAGGGTTCACTAGCTAAGTGTCCTGGCTCCTGAGCTGCCCTGGTGGTGGAACAGGGACTTGGGGCCTGGGTGCCCCCCGAAACGTTTGTGGAGCTCATATCCCACTCCCACGAGGGTCTGGACAGGCCTGGGTCCAGGGACTTGCTATGCCATGCAGTGGCTGTCCACGAGGCACCTCTGTGAGGGCGGGGCGGGAGGCCTGTTCTGTCTGGGCCCACGGTGCAGTGTGGACTTCAAGGGCGTCAGTCTGTACTATGCTGGGGCCTGTGGCCACCTTCCTTCCCCTTCCCCAGCAGGCTGGGGATCAGCTCAGGTGATCCGCCCGCCTCAGCCTCCCAGAGTGCTGGGATTATAGGCGTGAGCCACCGCGCCTGGGCAGGTCATTTCATTTCTAATCAAAATAATGAAATGGGACCCGGTGGCTCACACCTGTAATCCCTGCAATTTCGGAGGCCGAGATGGGTGGATCCACCTGAGGTCAGGGGTTTGAGACCATCCTGGCCAACATGATGAAACCCCGTCTCTACTGAAATTACAAAAAATTAGCCAGGCGTGGTGGCATGCGCCTGTAATCCCAGCTACTCGGGAGGCTGAGGAAAGAGAATTGCTTGAACCGAGGAGGCAGAAGTTGGAGTGAGCCAAGATGTGCCACTGCACTCCAGCCCGGGCGACAAGAGCAAGACTCCATCTCAAAAAAATAAAAAATAAAATAAATAAAATGTCCCCCAAAATGACGTGTGGAGGGCTCTAGGGTGAGGATGGAGCCCTTTCAGATAAGGACCTTTTGCGTGGGTAGGTCCCTGTTACAGAGCCTGAAGTTGTGGTGGTGGCCTGTGTGTCCCGTGCCTCGAGCCTGCTGCTCAGGAAGGCCACGTCCTGCCTCCCCTCACGCCTCGCCATCCATGCCATGGGGCTCCATCCAGAAGGCTGTGAGGGTTTTGCTGGATTCCCTAAGCAAGCCCGCAGTTCCCTGGGCTGAGGCCTAGGCTCTTATAGCCATAGGCACCTGGCGGTGGCGGGGATGTATGTCCTTATCTTTGACTCATGCTCCACACAGCCACCTGAGAGGATCCACATGTCATCCTCCTATATACAAGGCACTTTGGTGGACCCCCATTGCCTGTGGGGTGAAGTCCCCTGTCTCTCTCCAGCCCCACCCTGTGTGGCCCATGTGCACTTCAGCCTGGCTGGCCCTCCAGTGTCTGCAGTTCTGCCGAGACACCTGGCCTGTGTGCACACATGTCCTTGCTGTGGCTGTTGTCAGGTCTCTGAGCTTCTTTCCTGCCACCTGTTGTGGGCACAGGGCTGTGACCTGCTGACTCCCGTCTGTCTTTCTGACCCCGTGCAAGCTTCTCTGGCTGTGGGCTCTCAGGCACTTGAACTCCAGCCTCCCTTGTGTCCTGAGCTTCAGGACTGAGACATAGGTGGGGGCAGGTGGAGCTTTCTAGTCACCGTCTGGAAGATGCTTGTCCTTCCTCTTCTTCCTGCCTTCCTGCGGCTCCTCGACAGCCCTTGGTGAGAACAGGGCTGCCCCATGGCTGGGGCCCCAGGAAGGTGTTGGAGGGTGAAGTTTGACCCCTGCCCTGGGCTAACACCAGGGAAGGACTTGGGGCCTGGGATGGTGGGCCTTTGTCCCAGCAGCTCAGCTGTACTCACAAGTCAGCATGAAGATTTCAAAGCCAGATTCACACATTTCACCTGACAGGAAGAATAGGGAACCCACCCCTGACAGGCTGTGTGCCCCCTTTACACGCTGATGGAACGTTGACCAAAACCTCCGCTTATCTCGGTGAATT